>NT_187585.1:0-71326 GCF_000001405.40 Homo sapiens | reverse complement strand
GNTNGGATGGGGTCTCGAGCCTCCCCCAAGGGCTGGCCTATCCCTAGCCCGGCCTCAGGAGCTTCCTGCCGGCAGACGCCAGGCAGGGGCGGCTCTGTCCAAAAACCCGAGGCAGCTGCCCACCTGCCCACCTGCCCACCTAGTGCAACCCCGGGCAGGGCTCGTCCCATCGGCCTCTGTTTGGGGGCCAGGCGGGCAGGAACTTCCGGCAGGCTGGGGGCCCATGATCCGTGTTTGTGCTGGCGGTGGGCACACGCCCCACCTGCATTTGATTCTCTGCCGCTGCCTCCTGAGCTGCCCCCTCTGGCGAGCCCGCAGAAGCCCGGATTGCCAGGGACACCANGCAGAACACTTTGTTCGGGCAGCCAGCGAGCGCTCTGCTGCCTCAGCCAAACCCCAACCCGGCCACGGGGCAGGTGGGCAGGGAAAACCCANGGCTGCCTGGCCGTTCTCGTGTCATTGCTCCACGTCTGCCCACATCGGCCCTGCTGCCCCCACATCCTCCCCTACCCTGGGCCCTCAGCCACTTGCTGGGCCATCTGGAACCTCTGAATTGCACCAGCCCCTAGGACCCCTGCAATACCCCTCGCTGTCCCCGGAAGTCCACAAGCAGACCTTAGATACTTCCTCTCGCCTCCCTTCCCCAGCCCAGCAGGGTGGCCCCATACCACTGGAAGTCAGACCCCTGTCATAGGCTCTAACCCTCAGTGGCTCCGGATCAATGCCAGAGTCCGCTCACAACCCTGTGGTCTGGCCCAGCCCCCATCCCTGGCCTCACTCTGCAGCCTGCTTCCCAGCGCGCCGGTCCCTGGCCCCCAGCCCCAAGCCTGCTTCCTTCTTTCTGCATGCCGTTTCACACTCCTCCAGGTGCCTGACGGGCATGTGGATAGTTTGGCACCTGTCCCCCGACCCTGCCAGTGGCTGTGAGCCACGTGAGGTCAGTCTGGCTTCCTTCCATCCCCACCTCTGTCTGCCTGGTCCCTACTGGTGGTGTTTGCTTCTCAGAAGTAGGTCCCCTTCCTGAAACTGCCCTTGGCGTGCAGCAGGTATACCCTAAATATTCCTGAATTTGGGACGGGACGTTTCTGGGCTGGCTTCCTCAGTCTGTCCCACGTTGCCACCATTTTTCTCTAAGACAGAGGCCTCTGGGGCCCATCACCCCCTCTCCTTCCTGCAGACAGAGAAAGCACCGGCACCTGCTGATCTCCCACACCACAATGTCCACTTGCTGGGCGAGAACCTTTGAGGCATCCCTGCTGTTCTCGAGATACCAGCCTCGGCTGAGGGTCCCTCGCCGCCGGCCCCTGTGGCCCCCTGGGCGCTGCCCTTCTCGCCCCAGAGCCGGTTTCCTCTGGTTCCTACCTCAGGACCCTCACATGGGCTGGCCCTGCCTCCTGGAGCATCCACCCCTCTCCTTAGCCTCCAGACCCTTCTCATTCTCCAGGCCCCAGGTGAGGGTCTCCTTGGTGAGGCCCCCTCCCTTCCCCCTCCTGGTTTGGCTGTGGCCACTTCCCCTGCTTTCCATCCCCCACCTCTGTCTGCCCGGTTCCTGCTGGTGGTGTGTGCTTCTTAGAGGCCGCCTCCCCGAGGGCAGGGCACTGCACAGCCAACAACAGTTCAATGGCCTCTTGCTCGCTGGGAGACCCTGGGCCTTGGTCACCTCTCGAGCAGGGAGGGGCCGGGGAGTCTGTTCTGTGGCACAGTGCAGCCTGGGGGCTCAGGCCCGGGCGTGTCTGGGAACGGAGGCTGTGAGCGCGGAGCGGGCTCTCCTGGGCCCCAGGCCACTCCCTGGGCCTGAAGGGAGGGGCTCAGGGGAAGGATGAGGCCCCTCGTCCCCAGCTCCCTGGGGCACCACTGAGAGGCCTCTGGCCACCTCCGTCCCTCAACATTGGCCACGCCCACAGCCTGCTGTGTTCTGTCTCCACCCAGGCCTCTCCCCGGGCGCTCTTGGCTGTCCCTGCTGGCTCAAGACGGTGTCCTCTCTCTGGACACTCGAGAGGCTGCCCAGGGTGCTCCCAAACACGCACACCATGTGAGCCTCTTCCTCCGCCCTACGTGCCCCATCCTGCCCATCCCCAGGAGAGGGTTGCCATGCCCCGTGCCCCCAGCCCACGGGCTCTCTGCGGCTGGGGTGCTTGTCTTCCTGAACCCTTTCTGTGAACGCCTCACATGTTTGCTTCAAAATTAGTCTGTGTACAGGGTTTTTCATGGTATAAGTACCCTATGAAGACGTTCTCCCGCCAAATAAAGACATTTCAAAGACACATCTCCATTTCACCTGCCCCATTTCCCTCTAGGGCCCCTGCCTGCCAGGTAACCAGCTTAGGGATCTGATGTTTCTCCTTCCAGCAACTTTGATACGCAGCTCGTGCCTGGTTCTGCCTGGTCAGCGAGGTTTAGCACGAGTGAGGCGAGGCGTGATGTGACACACATGTGGCTCTCCACTGCTTGTTTCCATGCGACACACTTGTGGAGGCTGCATGTAGAATCACGGGGACAGTGCTGGCTCCTGGGACGGCTGTGCAGCCCTCCTTTCTGTGGGGATTGCTGACATCACCACCCAGTCCCTGCTGGTGGGCGTGGAAGCTGAGGGCTCCACACGCCAAGTCTTTCTGCCTACATGTGCTGGTGTTCGGGGGGAGGGGTCCCCTCTTCTGGGGAGCTTGGTGGCAGCAGCCAGGCTGTGCTCTCCCACCTCCTCCCCTTGGAGTGCAGTCCGGCCTCACCCTCTACCTCCTGGGTGAAAACTTCTACCTCCGGGCTGAAACGTCACCATGCCTCCCCACAGACAGACGGATGGACAGATGGGCCTCCCTGCACCTGCTCTGTGGGTGTGGGGGCTCCTGCTCAGCAGCAGTTTCCAGACCCTTCTCCCTGCTTTCCCCAAGCCACCCGCCTTGAATCTGGGGTGCTCTACCAGACCCATCCCCTCATTTCTAAAGATTTGAGCCACTAGTCGTGTCCCTCTCCCTCAGAAATGCCTTGGTGACACTTGGCTGCTTTCAACTCTTCCACCCATCTGCCTCTTGGTCTCATCTTTACCTTCTGCTAAAGGTCCTGACCCCCACCCCCGCCACGCCATGGGGCACCCCATGGTGGTGCGTCCTTGGGAGCAGCTCTGTCCCTTTCCCCGTGGCCTTTGCCCCGCCTCCTATGACTTCGATTCCCACCTGTCCCCGACCCCTGGGACCACTGACCGGGGCCGAATCACCTGTCACTGCCCTGTCATCTGCTTACCCCACACGGTGCTCTGCTGACCCAGGTCTTGCTGTCTCCCAACAGCCCCACGAGGCTTCCCGTCGCTCCTGGACAATGCAGGGTGAGCCCGATGCCCCGCCGCCTCCATGAGGAAGGCTTTTCCTCTGTGAGCCCCAGGCCACCCTTTCCCTCCTTTAAGTAATTACTTAAGTCCCTTGCCAGGGCCCTCCCAGTACCCTTTCTAAAGACACCCCTGCCCCAGCATGCTGCAGGCTCCTGCTCCACTTTCCTCTCAGGCCCTCGTCGCTGTGGTGCTGCCTTTGTTTTCTGTCTCTGCCACGGCAGGGGGTCAGCTCCTTGGAGGTGGGGCTTCTGCCCTTGCTGTACCACTGCCTGGCACACAGTAGGTGCTCAATAAAGACTTGCAGGGTGAGCTGCCTGAAGAATAGTCACCAGAGGCCAGAAATGTCTAGAGCTCTGCCGGTAGGGTGACTGGCCGAGGAGCCTGGCCTGCATGTGTGCGTGTGTGTGTGTGTGTGTGTGTGTGTGTGAGTCAGGGTTTATATGCAGGTGTCTACAGGAGACATGCTGGGTTCTGTGCTGGGTGTGAGGAATATGGGAGCAGAACCCCAGGGAGGTGGCAGACACTTGGGGGCCAAAGGGCTGGGGTGCAGGGGGGCAACAGCCAGGTGCCACTGGCCACCCCAGCCGCAGGGAGCCCTGCCCACCTTCCAGGTGCCTGGATGTCCAACCTCACTGCTATTCCCACCTCAAGCAAGGCTGGAAAATGAAGGCCCACTAATCCGCCAGGGGCGGGTTGGCACTTCCGGTTAACCAAAACGGGCGGGCAGCCCCAGCCCCCTGGCCTGCACCCAAGAGAAGGGCGGCCTCCCTCCCTCCCCCGCTTCTGGCTCCTAGGACAGGATTCTCTGAATTCAGCTCCCCTGAGGCTGGGGCCAGGTTGGAGGCCAGGCCTGGGGGCTCTGGGCTGGGGTCCCAGATAGGGGCTGGGCGGCCAGGCTTGGAATCTGGAATCCAGCCCCATTCCTGGCATCTGCAGGAGCCTCGTGGGGAGGGAGACTTGGGATGGACTTCAACCAGCCAGGGCTGGATTCTTGCCCCGGAACCTGCATTCCTGGGGCAGCCAAGGGATCCTTCCCACTTCTGGGCCCAGCTTGGCCCTGCCTGGCATTCGAAGCCCATCTGGGGCTTGGGGGTGTCTCCCCAACTCTCATACATAACGACACCCTTCCAAGCTTGTTCCTTCACCTGGCGGGGCCCTTAGCCCCACACCCCTCCCCTGTCCTTTCTCCATCCGACATCAAGCGCCTCCCTGCCTCTGCTCGCACAGTCTCTGAGATGGGGAACTCAGCACCTCACAGGTGGGCCCAGCTCTGGTGCTGTCTGTGTTGGGGGAGCTGGGGCAGCCCCCAAAAGACCTTGGAGACAGACCCTCAGAGGCAGGAGCAGAGGCTGGCAGTGGATGCTGTGCCTGGAGGCCTTGAGGGCGAGGTGTGATGATGAGGCCCAGGCTGCAGGGCTCTTTCTGGCTCTCCAGCTCCGGAGAACAAGGGATTTCCTCCTGCTCTGCCCACCCTCCCCAGCCAGTGCATGCTCAGCCTCAGCACCGCACCTGGGCGCCCTCCATGATCTGCCCCACCTGGACACATGGCTCGAGGGGCACACTACCATGCCATACACCATGTCACGCACCTTGCCACTCCACATGCTACACAACCCAGCCCCAGCCCCAGCCATGCCATGTGCCACACCATGTGCCACACCACTCCCACCATGCCACCACCATGCCATGCACACAGCCACGCCAGGCACAGCAGGCGCTGAGCCCATCCTGCACGAATGCAGCAGTGTGTGTGTGTAAGGGGACCTAAGCCTCTGCCCATGTCCTCCCGGGAGCCAGCCCCTGGCTGCACTCCTTGTGGCTAAGTGGGGTTCTGCTGCCCCCCAGCCCCTGCTGACAGCCTGGGAAGGGGGTGAGGAGGTGGGGGAGCAGGCTGGGAGGGCAGGAAGTTGNTGGGGCTCCAGCCCCATCTGGACATATTTGGCAAGCCCCGCTCCCCGCCGTTCCTCAGCCTGTCGGAACGGCCCCTGGCGCTGGTGCTGGACACTCTGGCCTTCCCCCAGNTGCCTGTCCCACCTTCCCCACTGTTGTCTCGGTCCCGTCTCGGGGCACTTGCCCCAGTTCCTGCTGCTGGGCCCAGTGGACTGCACGGTCACAGCCAGGTGCAAACATGGGACCTGGTGTTTGCTCACCTCTCTGAACCTCCATTTTGCCTCTGCAAGACAGGGGCTGCAAATGGAGTGAAGCGGGGAAGCCTGCCCACCCCAGGAACCCAGCCTCTTGCCTCCCAGTGACACGGTTGCTGGCGGGGCAGCAGTGGGGATGCTCGGGGACCCCTGCCCTTGAGGCTGGCTCCCAGGTCCACGTGCCTGGGGCTGACTTGGGGCCTGACAGCTGCGCCCAGGTGCCCACCCTAAGGCTGAGACTCCCTCACATCTATGCAGTCTTCACAGAGGTCCCAAGGGGCTCTGGGATCCTATGAGGGGAGAAGCTTGGAGAGGGGTGGGGCATGTGGGCAGGTGGGGGGAGGACTCGGCTCCAGGGCACTGGCCCGGCTTGGCTGCCCTGACTCTGCCATTGTCTCCAGAAGTCCACAGGCCTCCCGTCCCTCAGGGAAGCAAGAAGGGGCTATGTCCTCTGCCCTGGCGCGTGGGCCCCTTGCGTGCAGGGGCTTCCACAGGGCCTCTAATTGCCTCGACTCCAGAGGCACACAGGCACCCCTACCCAGCATGTTCTCCCACACCCACAGCCTCCTAGCTGTGGGATAACCATGGACGATGCTGCCAACCTCTTATCCCCTGGTCTGGTGGGCAGTCCTTGGGCACCAGCCTGCCCTGAGCAGGGAACAGCAGCTGCATTGCCCACATCTGTCTCCCACTGGGAGGAGGCTAGTGTCCAGGTCACTCTGGGGGAGAGGGGAGGGACCAGGTCAAAGTGGGAGAGTGGAGTGAAGCCCCCTGAGCTGGGCATGGCTTCTGCCCCATGGAGCCCTGGCCAGGCCCTGTGGACCACGGCGGTGGCAGCCACCTTCCCCACACCCTACAGTTGTCACCTGGGGCAGCCCCAGCCAGACCATGGTCTCCTCCTGCCTTGGGGAGCATCAGCCCCAGCCTTGCCTTTCACCCCACAGCTGGGCCGCTCAGTGATGCCATCAGCAACCTTCTCCACACAGGCCCTACCGGGAGCTACAGAGGGAACATGCTCCGGGGAGGCGGGCAGACCTGAGGAGGGCTTCCTGCTGCAACTGTGGTCTCCCAGGCAGCAGGGTGCTTGGTGCTTTGCCTGCACTGGCTCTCCTGACCCTGCCAAGGCCCTGGGCATGGGCGGGGACTGCGTCCCATCTCCCTGATCTTGCAGTAGGGGAAGGTGAGTTGTGGAGTCGCAGAGCCCGTCTGAGCGAGCAGCTTGTGGGTATCCTGGTTCCTCTTGCTCCCCATGACCCTGTGCGGTCGGAGCTCTGACGGCCCCACTCCCAGGAGGGGACACAGGCACCCTGTCCTAGTCTCCCAGCCCGGAAGCCCCCACCCTGCCAGGTCCCGCACAGGCATCTGAGCCTTCAAGTCCCTCATCTAGTTCAGCCCTCTGGTACCTCCGTTTGCAAGGGCCCAGGTCCAAGGCTTCTCTAACGCTGCCCATCTGCCAAGATGCCGGGCAACCCCAATTGTGCGTGAGGGGCCAGGCCTTCCCTCAGGGGTGGTGGGAAAGGGTAGGGTGGGGACCGGGCTGGTGTGTGTCCTGGGGACAATGAAGCTATCACCTGTCAGGAAGGCTGGGGGTAGTCTAGGCAGTTGTCCCAGGTCCTAAGCCTGAGGCCCAGCTGTCCACCTGCAGGGCTGCCTGGAGGTGGAGGTCTGCCTGGGCCTCAGGCCACCCCCCTGGAGCAGAGGCTCCTGGTACACGGGCAGGGCCTCCTTTCCAGCTTCCTACCAGGGGCATGTCCAGCTCAGGCCACTGCAAGACCATGTGCCAGGGGCTGAGTCAGGCATATCCCATGGACCCTGGACAGGTGAGACTCTTGAGGCTCAGAGAAGTGAAATCACTGGGGGTCATGGAGTGGCCACTTCCTCGCTGTACCTAGCCTTCCAGGGCTCTGGTGGGGGAGGGAGGAGGGGGCAACGGAGAGAGGCAGAGGAGGGCAGCGGGGAGGGGAGGGGAGGGCAGCGGGGAGAAGGGTGCTGGAGGAAGGAGGGGAGCAGTGGTGGGGAAGGGGAGAGGGGAGGAGGGGCAATGTGGAAGGAAGTGGGGGAGAGAGGAGCGGAGGGGACACTATGGTTGTGGCCATCCAGGACATCAAGAGGAAACTGACTGAAGTCTAGAGAAGGATCAGGAATAGATCTGGGCCTAAGGGTGGTGGTTCAGGGCACAGAGTACCAGAGGGACCCAGAGACCTGGAGAGCTTCTTGTGTCTCCACAGTCAGGGAGGGCTTCCTGGAGGCAGAAGCACCTTCGACAGCCCCACAGTGTTCCAGGCCTACAAGGCATTCACCCCTTCTCTCCCCTGTTCATGGGTTATTTCCAGCCGCCACTGGTCCAAGCACCCCCTGATGGTGTAGGGCAGGCCGGGCCACGTACTTCTTCTCATGGCCCAACTGTGGGCACAGGCACCCATCACGTCTGCTGAGGTGCCTCCTCAGGGACATCCTGCCCTGCACCCGATGGCCATCCCTGTAGCAGCTGCTGCTGATCACAGAGCACCTGTCATTCTGAGAACATCCCATTGATCGCCGCCTTTGGCTTCACAGCCATACTGGGAAGCAGGCAGGGCTGCCATCTGCATGCCAGAGGCCAGAAAATGGGGCGCAGAGAGCATGGGCAGCTTCCCTCAGGGGGCCCATTGGGCGGGTGCTGGGGTGGGGCTGAGCACCCAGACCAGCTGCCTCTCATCATCACCACTTCCCTGTCCTGCCTTGACAAGACCTGCACGGGGTCTCCCAAGGGTACCCTTGCGGTTTCAAAGACTCCCTGGTCAGCTCCTAACCCTGCATTTTCCTGACAGGAAAGCTGAGGCCTAGAGAGGGGTTGGGCCAGCCTGTGCTGGGTTACCTGATGATGGGGAGAGGGGAAGGCCCAGGTGTGTGGCTCTGTGGCCAGGGTGCTGGAGGGCACACACGTGGGGTGCCCTTGGGAGGTCAGAGGTCTGAGGGCCACGGAGATGTGGGGGTTCCTGGGAAGGCCCACAATGCTCGGAAGGTGAGTGGAAGGGTGGGAAGGTCTCCACCCAGGAAGGAGGTCCTGGGCTGGCCCCCAGCCTGCCTGGCCCAGGCTGACCCTGTGAGTTGATGAGAGATTCAGGCCCCATCCTGCAGCTCCCAGCCCGCCCTTCCTGCTCCCGGGGCTGGAGGAAGAGGTTCTTGGGACACTGGGACTGGGGTGTGGGGATACATGCTGACTAGACTGGGTGTGGTTTGCAGGCCATTGGGAGGACCTAGGTCCTTTAACAGGGGACTTAACAGGGACTTAGATCCCGGGGCCTTGGAGATCATCTAAGATATCATTCAGGTCATAGCTCTGGGATGCCTGCCCAGGGAAGAGCCCAGATCCCTCTGTCAACCCTTGCTAAAGGTGGGGAGGAGGCACCCACCAGTGAATCCTCTTCTCTCACTGGCCTTATCCTGCAAAGCCCCAGCCCCAGCTAGTCAGAGGCTCCTGCGTAGCACCGCAGCCAGTCCTGAGCCTGTGCCCACGGTGTAAAGGGCCTGCTGGTCTTTCCCCTTCACCACACACCTGCTGTTCCCAGCCAGGGTGGCATGCACCCACCTTCCCCTCTCAGAGCTCCTTTGGCCAATCTCTACCTTCTCTCTCTTCCTCCCTCAACTCTCTTCCTTCTTCCTCCCTCCTCCTTCCTCCTCTTTCCTCCTCCTTCCTCCTCCCTCTTCCTTCCTCTTCCCTCCTCCTTCCTTCTCATCCTCTTCCCCTTCCCCCTCCCCCTCCCCACCAGGGTATTGGCAGAATTCCCTATTCTCTGGCACCATCACTTCCTTCTTAGATTTTCTTACCCTTAGTGAGAAAACCCGTGAAGCTCTCCCATCTTTAAACAGCCTTCCCTGGGCGCTAGATCTTCTATCTCTAATTTCTGTTCCCAGAGGCAGCCCTTCAACCCTACCGACTATCTCTTGGCTTTACCTTGGTATTTCCAAACTACACATTTACATTGCTGTTCCTTGAAATTTTGTCACTTTAGACATTATCTAGTGACTGCCTAACATGGAAGAGAAGTGATCAAGATTTTGTTCTCATGCCCCTGCCCTCCCCACTCCCTTATCTTTCCAATACAGTTAAATTAGAATTCTAGGCTAAATAAGTACTTACTGTTTGCGTTTTACACAAACAGTATATAACTCTTTATGTCACTATGTAATCACTGTTTTTAGCTGTGTCCTGTGGTCTGTTATGATTACATCTTCTTGTTTTCCCTTGGGTTACAAATGGCCTTAGGTTTTGCTTGTTTTTTACTGCATCTGTCACTAATTCATTCTTGAACTTTCTGTAAGAATTGTAAAACTTCTTTCATCCTATTGAGAATACTGGCAGTCTATCACCTTCATTTTTTTTTTCTTCTGGGATTTCT
This sequence comes from Homo sapiens, assembly GCF_000001405.40. NCBI lineage: Eukaryota > Metazoa > Chordata > Mammalia > Primates > Hominidae > Homo > Homo sapiens. Next base: position 61,478 of record NT_187585.1, on the reverse strand, counting down.
TCCTGGAGTCTTAGCAGGACTGTTTGCACTGTAGGCATGCTGAGCAGCTGTAATGCTAGAACTTCTTTCACTCATGTTGAAAATTCTCTTGGCCTTTTGTTTTTGGTGTTGGAGTCTCCCTGGTTCTTGAATTGTGTTTCTCTTTCTTTGTTTTTTCCTCTCATTTTGCTAGAGCACGTCCTCAAGTAACTTTCTGAGAAAAGGCATGTGGTAGATACAATTTTTGACTGTGCATGTTTGGAAATGTCTTTATTCTATTCTCATACCTGAGAGTTTGACTAGGTATAGAATTCTGGATGGGAAATCATTTTTTCCCTCAGATGTTTGAAGGCATTTCTCTACTATGTGCTAGCTTTCTGAATTGCTGTTAAGAAATTGGATACCGTTTTGATTTTCTATTCTCTTGTGTGTGACTTACTTTTTCTCTCTGGAAATGTGGAGTGTCTGCTTTATTGCTGGTGTTCTGAAAACAATGGTGTGCCCCACCGGGCATTCTGGGAGTTGATGAGGGAAGTGGGGGAGGAGTTCTTCCTTTTTAGATGGAATGCNTTTACTGAATCCCTGTTGTTTTCATCACAAGAGCTCCTGCCCCACCTACAACTGCTCCTGGTGGCTCCAAGTTCAGAACCTCTCAGGCTCAGCTTTTCTGGAGACTCAACCTGTCTCTAGCTGAGCTTGAGAATCAGTAGCATCTGGCTTCATGGGCTGGGGTGAGACCTGCCTGTCAGGGTCCTGGGTTGGGAACTGCCTCATTCTTGGTGGCTCTTCTTCCTGCAGGGCTTGGTGTCTACCCTCTCCAGTCTCCTAGGCCAGTCTCCATCTGTCCTCCTGCTTCCCAGCTTCCAAACCTTTGTCAACATATTTTTGGTCTCCTCTTTTCTCCTGACCACTTTACCCTAGTTGATTTACATGTTTCCATGTTTTTCATGCCTTTACTGTCACCTTAGTGGGATTCAAAGAAGCTGAAATAGACATGTGTTTACCCATCACGTTTAACCAGTGCTTTCAGCTCTGGCACCTGCTGCTCCGGTCACCAAACCTTCCAGCAGCCCCCTGACGACACCATCTCCTGTCCTGACTTCTCAGAGTTGTCTTCTTGGGTGCTAGTCCATGCCTGCTGAAGTCCTCCAGCTCCCAGGAGCCATGTTCCCATGGGTGCCTTTCTGCACGTGGCTGCCTCCTCTGAGTCCCGGCTGTGGCCCCTTCCCTGCTGGCTCCTGTGTGGTGCTGCCAGCCTTTGTCCTGCCCTCGCCCCTTTGCAGGTAGTGTTCCCTCTGTTGCTGGCCTCCCCACATTCGAGCTTTCAAGACCTCTATGTGCCCGGTGGTGCCTGGCTTGGACTCAGGGCCAACACCACCATAGGGTTCCCGGCCCCTGACCTCACCACTTCCATGTCTCAGAGGCATCTTGAATTCGACACACCCCAAACAAAGCTCTCGCTGCCTTCTGCCCGCCCCTTCCTCTTCATTCCGGAAAACAGTACCACCACATACCTGCTACTTACACCCTGGCCTGAGCCGCTGAAGTGTACCCCCATTTCCTCCCTCAAGCGCCCAACTCCTATCTGAGTCCTTCTGGTCTGGCCTCCAAGCCACATGTGGAATTTTCCCTCTGGCAAAACAGCCACTTGTCTCCATAGCCGCTCTCCCCCGCCCCCCCGACCCCACTTTTTTTTTTTAATCAACAGAACCCTGAATTAAGCTGAGTGTTTGCCTGCCTGGAATAGAGACTCCGTCCCCAGGGGCCCTTGCAGCGACTCAGGCGTGCGTCACATTCCGGCGGGTGGACAGAAAGGGGGATGACGTGGGCCGCTTCTGTGTAGGGTTTTACAGGAGTGGGGCCTGTCCTTCATGTCTTTTACCTCCCTCCTGCTGCTGGAATGCAGATGTGATGGTGAATGCAGGAGCAGCCGCTGGGGACCATAGGACAGAAGCACTGGATTGTGGACAGGAAAGCAAGCAGAGAGAGGAGGTCTGGGGCCAGGCTGATTCACCAGGCACACATCAGCCCTGAAGCTTCTGCTACTCTGGGACCCTGCGGGTGGCAAAGTTCTCTCTTATTTGGGCTGTCCCCAGGGTCACTGTCTCAGCAGCAGCTGAACCAAGAACCTCCCCTTCTCCCACCTGCCCTGACTCTGGTCCCTTATCTCCTACCTGGGGGACAGCAACACGAGGTGACTGTGCCTGGCCTCCTCTCTGCAGCCCAGCCTGTTCCCCTCCCGGCTCTGTGACATCTAAGCACATCACCTCTGAGCTTCAGGCTGAAGCCCTCCTGTGGCTTGTGAGTGACTGAAAATGACTCCAAACTCCTTAGAGGACTGCTCCGATGTCACCTCCTTGGAGATGTCCCCTTCCCCACCTACTCCACGGCTCATGGGCCACCTGCCTGGCTTTCTTCCTCCCTGTCCTTGTCACTCCAGGACCAGACACCCCACACCCAGTGGTTTACAGGCTGCTGGCCTGTGTGTCTCTCTGGCTGTGAGCATATGGGGAAGTGGTTAGTGTGTCTCCCCAGCACCCAGCATGGCTCCAAGCACATAGTGGGATTCTGAGTGGAGGCAGGGCAGGGGCCCCAAGACGAGGGGTGCCCAGGGGAGCCCCGTGCCTCTCTGGCCCTCTGCACCCCTCTCTGTTCTCCCTCTGGGAGCACAGTGGTGGGCTGGGTGTGCTGGGCCATCCCTCTTGTGCCACAGCCAATCCAGGGCATTTCTACCCTGTGGGTGCCCAGCTGCAGGTCTGCTGGGGAGGCCTTCGGGGAAGCAGCAGCAGGAGGGGGCGGGGGAAAGTGCTCCCACACCGGCCTGGCGCACCCAACGCCGGGTCTGCCTGAGTTTCCGTGACTGTCTGCGCGGAACCGCACGGCGGTTTCCATCAGCGCTGCCAAGAGGCGGCTGCTGGGCCTGGCCGCGGGTTCTGACCCCCAGCTGGCCTGGTTACTGCCAGGAGACCCTGGGAAGCTGGGGAATACTGGAGCCCGAAGGGTTAACTTGCCCTCCCCGCCCCCAACCCCGGCTCAATTTCTTCATTTTTCAAAGGCCGGGCCCTCTTTCCTTCCAAGTCACAGCTGACGTGAAATGTAGCCTTAAAATGCAGCTGACATGAAAAACAATAGCACTCCCTCGGAGAGGTTCTGCTGCGGGCTGGACAGCCCCCGCCCCCCAATAATTACTCAAGACATTGGCATGAGCCAGGCCTGGTTAGGTAACAGGCTGCTTGCTGTGGAGGCTTATAACTCACAGGCAGTTACACATAATCTCTGCAGACAACAAAATCGTTTCCAGGATGGCGGGGAGGACGAGGCCTCGGGGAGAGGGTACTGGGGCAGGAGGGGCTGAGACCATGCCAATGGGGACAGGATCTGAGGAAGGGGCTCCGGGTGGCCCTGGGGAGCCAGCTTGTCAATGTGGGGAGGTGGTAAAGTGTCTGTGGAAAGGGGTTGCCTTGCCTCTCTCTTTACTCCAAACTCCACCCTTGCCCCAGTCCCTGGCGTGGAGGCCGCGCTGGTCCAGTCCGTTACTGAGCAAAGTACCCGGAGACTCATTCATACTGAAGTGTGAATGACTGACTGCTTTGGGAGAGCTGCCCCCGCGCAGCTCCGCGAAGGATAATTAATTGTCTGTTTATTGTTCATGGCCCCACTGTACTGACTTCCTCATGGGCAGGTCCACATACTTTCCCCTGTGTTCCCAGAGTCTAGTACATAGCAGACATTCAGAAAATATTTGTTGAAGACGACGACATCTAACCCAAAGAAGGAAGCGTCCAGGGTGTGATTCCAGGCACATGGGCGGGGCCCCTGGCAGCAAGGGCTGGACGACTGGAGGGACACTGGCCAGTAGAGGGCTGGGGCGCCCCTACCCCCCCGCGTGGTGCTTGCTCTTCCAGCACCCGGGGCCCCTGGCACCTTCCCACAGGAAACGCCCATTTCCCTGGAAGGACACTGAGCTGAGCAGGCTGAGGGCTCGGAAGGTCTGGGCTGCGGGCCTCCCTTGGCCTCCCATTGGTCTGGGTCTGCACCCTGGCGGCCTGGCTGCAGAGCCCACCCTGCCAGGAACTGGCTTCCTGGGCTATGAAGGCACACGCCCGACAGCAGGGTCGGGGAAGTCGGGCCCCAGCCCCAGTCCCGCCGCAGGGAAACGGCACCTCCCATGTTCTCTGGACTCTCTTTCCACCGTGACCCTGTCTCTGCGCATGGGACAGCCGTGTCCAGGCTGAGGCCCAGCACACTGCGCCTCCTGCACCAGCCACATGTGCAGACCAATGTCTGAGCTCGGAGCTGGCCCACAATCCCTGGCCCAGGCCCCATCGTACAGCTTCCATCCACACCCGGCCTCCCCTGTCCAAACGCCCCTGTCCTTGCCCAGTCACTGAGGCCCCAGAACTCACTGGGAACCTGCTCTGTGCCCGGCAGGGGAACTCGTGTCCCTGATCAGTGTACCCTCCGGTGCCAGGGGCAGGATGGATGCGGCACGGCACTGAGACAGGCCAAGTACAGAATTCTATGGCTCTGTGGTGTGGGGACGTTCCTTCCTCAAAGCTGTCCCGGGGGCCTCTAGGATGCCCAAGCTCCTGACTGTCTTCTTCCCGCCACCCCCAGCTGCTTCCTGTACTGCAAGGCCCTGTTCACCCCTTGAGTGGCCCCATTCTCACTCTCTCCTCTCCCTGCAATCTCTTGCCAGGCAACCTCATCCACACCCCTTCTTCAGGTACCACCTCCATGTTGCAGCCTCTGTTTTCAGCTCCAATCTCCCTGCTGAGCCTTGCAGCCTAAACTGCCAAGCAAACACCTCCACGTGGACACCTCAGAAACTTTCAGGCCCTGCATGTCCTCCTCCCTGCTCCTGTCTGGATGAATCGTTTCAGCCTCCAACATATGGCCAAGCCAGAACCAGGGGGTCTGTCCTGAAGACTCACCTCCATCGCCACCATATCCAGCTCGTCCCCAAGTCTGGGGATTGTGTCTCCAAATCCCTCTCGTATCTGTCTTCTTTCCACCCCTGGGCCTAGCCTCCCTCCTCCCAGGGCCTCTGCGTATCCTCCTCACCCACCTCCCCTCTACTCTGGCCCCTCCATGGACAGCCTCACACTTCAGCCAGGGGGTGGCTCTTGCTGGAAGAGTTAGTTATCCATGTGCATGCATGTGTCTGGGTGTGTTTGTGTGAATGTGTGTGTCGAATATGGGTGTGTGTGACGGTGTGTGTCAAGGTGTTTGTGCTGTGGAAAGGGCACGCCTGCTATATTATCGATAATCATCAGCCTCCAGGCCTTATTGTGCATGCCCATCTCCACTCTCGGGAAGCCCATCACTGGTCCTCTTATCAGCTTTTGGTGACATGCTGGCCACATGGTTTCTCGACTTGTCAATCTTAGCTACTAGAATCTTCCTTGTATGAAGGTGAGGCTTAAGCTCTCACCCCACCCTCGGCTTTGTCCACCCTCTAACTGTCCAGCACAGCTTCCCCATTGTTTTGATGAAATCTATGCCCACTGCCTGGGTCCCCCACAGAGCCAGGGGGTATACTGTGCTCACATTTCCTTTCTGGGTTCTCCTGCTTCTCTGCTCTCTTCTCTAACAACACCTCCCTCAGGGAGATCCTCCGCTGTTTTGGAAGCTCCGTTGCAGATTTTCTTCCCAGTCCCACCTATTTTCTCTTCCTGGGTGGCCTCTTCAGGAGTATCCTGTCCTCTGCTCCTGCCTGGGCTGCCTGGGCTGGAGGCCTGTAGCCCTGAGCCAGCTGCTGGGCTTGGACCTCCCTGTTCTGTCTGTGTAGGGTCTTCTGCCTCCTTGTTGTTGGTGCCTTCCTTTTCCCTGGTTTCCTCCCACGTTTTGCTGGAGTGCATTCTCCAGAACCTTCTAAGAAAAGGGATAGAAAGCAAATTCTATACTTTTTTCCTGCAGTGACTTGGAAAAATTTTATAAGTTCTTGAGTATCTGAAAATGTCTTTACTGTATCCTCACCCTTGATAGATACTTTGGCTAGGTATAGAATTTTATTTTCCTTCACAATTTTGAAGGCATCTCTCTTCATAAATTTTCTCTACCAAAGACTGATCTGTTCAGAGGCCCATGTTTGGAAAATCGCCTGTTACTTCTTTGAGAAGATTCTAGAATGTTGTCTTTATCTCTGCTGTTCCTGAAGGGCATGATGACACAGTGGCTGCTCTTTTCTGCTAGAGGTTCTCAGTGGGCCCTTTCTTTAGTCTCTATTTCCTCTCATCTCCCTTTCTGGAACTTCCAATAGCAGGATATTGGATGTCCTTGGATTGAGTCTGCATGTTTCTTGGGTGTTCTGATTTTCTGTCTTTCAGTCTTCATTCCACTTTCAGGGAGATTTACTTCCATCTTTTACTGATTTTTTTTTTTTTAATTCAGCAGCATAATTGACATTTCCAAGCACTCTTTCTGCTTCTCTAATTGTTTCTTTTTCACAATGTCCTACTCTGGCCTATGCCACCGTTCTGAATTTCAGATCTCACAATGGTGAGATTTGTTCATTGCTCCCTTGCCTCACATCCTTTGGGGCTCCCCCTGTTCTGAGCTGAGCCCCTGCCAGGGACTCCACCTTCCCTCCCTAACTTTCTCCTTTGGCCCGTGTTCAGCCCTCTCCATCCTCTCAGACCCACAGACCAGGCCTATTCTTTCCTGCCTTGGGGCGTTGGCCCATGACTATCCCACCTCTCCACTTAGTTGAGCTAATTTCCACCCATCCTTTGGGGTTTGGCTCACAGGGAGCTTCCTTGGGACACCTCTGCTAATACCCTAGGTAGGCTCACAACTTATTATGTAGCCTTTAGCTCTCTTTACGCACTTAGCACAGTTCTAACTAAACACTTGCATTCTGCCATAATGGCCTAATATCTGTCCCCATTTCCCCACCTCCACCTCCTAGAGGGACATCCCTAGGAGGGTAGGGTCCAGTCCATCTTATCCACACTATACCCCAGGGCCTGGCGCTGTGCTGGTGCTTGTGTCAGCATCCTGCACTGTGGTGCCATGTTACCACAAGCATAGCGCAACACGTGTGTGACATCTTGCAGCACTGGAGGTCAGGAGTCTCACCGGGCTAACAAGGTGTCAGCAGGGCTGATACCTGCTGGAGGCTCTAGGGCTGATTCATTCCTCACCTTCTCCGGTTTTCTAGAAGCTGCCTGCGTTCCTGGGCTGTGGCCCCTCCTCCGTCTTCAAAGCCAGCAGCACAGCACCTTCAGCCTCTCTGAGCTCTGCTTCCATCCCCCTGTCTTCTCCGCTGACTGACCCTCCTGCCTCCCTCTTAGAAGGACCCTTGTGATCACATTCGGGGCCCCTGGATAACCCAGGATCATCTCCCCATCTCTGGATCCTTCACTTAGTCACCCTGCAAAGTCCACTCTGCCATGAAGGGACAGGGATAGAATGAGGACATCACTGGGGCCATGACACGACTACAGAGCTCACACACACTTGCTGGGGTGGGGGTGTGCAGAGCAGGGATGTGGATGCAGAGGAGGGCAACAGGAGTGGCTTGGAAGATGCACCCTTTAAGGAACCCCTATAGGACCAGTACATAGCAGCCAGGAAAAGGTGGGGAGATGTCATGGGCACAGGGAACAAGGTGAGCAGAGGGCAGGACCTCAAATGGCTGGGAGGGTTTCCAGCAGAAGGGTAGAAAGCAAGGCCCATCCCAAAGGCCTTGGAAGCCACTGTGAACAGTCCAGAATTACCACGTGGGGAAAGGGACACCATGGGTAACTGTGTGGGGTCAGTGGGGCTCTGCCCTCATGAGGCTTTTTACCAGCCACTTCCCAATGGCCTCCCACTCCATCTGAGCCCATCCATCTGGCCCTCATGGGTCCCCAGACTCCCTCAGCCAGAGCAATGATTCAGGACACACAATGGCCCTGTGGCTCCACTTGAAACTTCTCGAGAAAGTGTGTGTGGCTGGCGTGACCCCATGGGCACCATTCTCACCACATTCCCCAACCCTTGCCAGGCCCACGGCCACCTTCCCATCCTCTCGCTTGCAGTGCTCCTGCCCCACGCGGGGCCTCTGCACCTGGAGTCACACAGCTGAGAGGCGAGGAAACGGGACTCGCACAGAGCACCAGGCTTCGGTGTCCGCCCTCTGACACCCGTGTTGCTACAGCACCAGCCAGGGGCCACCGAACACTTGACAGACCCACCCCACCCTGCAGGGACGAAAGCTTCCCACCAAGGCAGCAGAGCAGGCCGGACCTGGCCTCCGAAGAGTGCTGATGTCCTTAGAGGGAGGTTCAGGCAGCTGCAAAAGCAAGGCAGGTTAAGGAACCCCTCGCTTAGATGGGCCTAGAAACAGCCCCAGAGATGGCCGAGGCCCAGCACGGGCCAGGGGAGGGTGAGCAGCAATGGAGGTGGGGTGTAGGCACTCCCCTTGACAGCTCTGTCAGGGAGAAGAAAGTATGGGATGAAGGAAGAGCCAGGGGATGTGGAGGACATGGCTTCCAGCAGCTTCCAGAGGGGCTCTAGCAGGAGGGAAGGGAGGCGGAAGCCACGCAGACTCAAACCCTCAATGGAGACCATTTCCCCAGACGTAAGGAGAGGACACATGTGCCCAGGCTTTAAGGGCCCAGAGGATGGGGCAGGAAAAACAAATGAACAAAACCAACACATCAAGAAATCCACAATATTATTGGCCATCCTAGTGCCTGTCTCTCAGAAACTGACAAACCACAGTGGGTGAAACTAACAAACAAACAAACAAACAAACAAACAGCAAGGTAAGTCAGGAGGTGGAGGAGTCGCAGAACTCCACTAACAAGTTTAACACAATTAACAGAAAAGACTCCACCGCCTCCACACATATACAAAAAGGTCACAGAAATGATCCTATTAGGCACCAAAGGAAAACTCCATAAATTTCTAAAAATCTGTACCTTGATGTAAAATAGAAAATTATTAATAAAAATAGCAACAGATGGATACATCTTGAAGTTTAAAAAGTACCCTTCTAAATAACTCTTTGATTAAAGAGAAAATAAGGCAGAGAGAAAATCTTAGGATGGATTTACAAGGAGCTGATTACATGCCAAGAGTGTGGGATGCTTCCTATAGGGTATTTGGAGAAGTATCGATGGCAATTTTAGAAAATAAAAAAGATTGAAAATAAATGTGCTAAGCTTTCAACTCAAGAAGCTAGAAAAAGAACACCAAAACAAATACAAAGAAAAGAATGAACAAAGTCAAAGGAAGATATTAGCAAAATAGAAAAATATTTTATGAAAAAGAATTGACCAATAAAACCAAATGCAGGTTGTTTGAAGAGCCAGTAAAGTAGATAAACCTTAAGCAAGTAAAGTAACAAATAAGAATTAGGAATGAATACTACTGCTACCGAGGGAATTGAATAATTGTAAGTGATTATGATATATACTTTCATATCAATAAAATTGAAAACACAATATGATGGATAAGTTTCAAGGCAAAAAATACCAAAAGTGGCTTATGTGGTAGAAAATCCTAAGAAACATAAACCCATTGGGGAGACACAAATGCCAGTTACCTACCCTCCTCTAAAAGGTTTCCAGTCTAGTTTTTGGGGGTGATTTCTATAATTACCTAAAAAAGCAGACGACATCCATCCCATCCATCCCAGAGCACTAGCCAAAAGGGGAGGTTGCTCAACTTATCTGACAAGGTAAAACCCCAGGCACCATAACTGCTCAAGCAAACACAAGAAAATTCTAGGCCCAAATCAGGTATGAACACAGATGCTAAAACCTAAAAATGCATCAGCAGCTGGACTTGAGTCAAGATCACATAAGGTTTACCTCAGGAATTCAAGGAAGGTTCAATGTCAGGAAGGCTCTCGGCACCTGGTGTTTGGACCCTGCTGTTTCAGGTGTGTTTTCAACTGGACTTCTACCCTCATGTATGGGCTGACACGTGTTGGATGTCTCCCATTCCCAAATCCCCAGCTTGCCCAGGGGAGGGTGGGCTGGGCCTCATAAAAGCCTTGCCCACTCCTCACTTAAACTCTGGTTTGTCTTCCTCTCCTGCTCCTTCCTCAGCACATGGGCAGGCATAGAGCACACAATGCTCTGTCATTGTCTGTCCTCCTAGTGGGCCACAGCCCTTGGGAGGAGGGACTTTGGCTGTCTGGCCTACCACTGATGCCTGGAGCATAGGGATGCTTGGCAAATACTTGTTGAATGAATGAATGAATGAATGAACCAATGAACAAAGGCCAGGTGAGGGTACTCCCTAATCCTGTAGGGCAGAATCTCCCTGGAGAATGTCCAGCTGGTCTTTTCAAAGGGGCTGGAGAGGACTAGCTCCTTTCAGGCTGGAGCTGGGAGCAGGATGTGGGTCCTGTGGGGCTGGGTAATGCTGGAGGGTGGGATGAACCTCTTGTGCCACCTGCCTTCCAAGAGGCATGTGGCCCACTCTCCTAGATGTGATTCTGCTGGGCCTGGGGGTTGGGGGAAGAGCAGCTAAGCTGAGCTGTCTCCTGGCAGTTGTGGAGACACCTGTTGGGGAGTGTGTGGTGGGGGCTGTGCTGGCAGCTGAGCACAAGGCTAGCCTGGGCAGGGGGAAAGGCCTGGGTCATCAGACTAGGGTAGGGGCTGGGGGCTCTGGGCAGCTGGTGCTAAGGACCCAACAGGTGGGCCCGGTTAGGGACCAGCAGCTGGGCTGGTAGGGAACAACTGGAGACAGGGTGGGCCGCATTCCGGGGGCTTCCAGCCTCCAAGCTGTGTGCGTGTGGGGATGGGGGGTGTAAGGCATCTGGTGGAGAGGGGTTTCTAGGCCCCTCACCCCGGGTGGCAAAGTCCTGTGACAGCTCCCATCATCTGGCTCATGCCAGAGGCACCTACCCTTGCTCTTCCTCTGAGGAAGGCCTCTTGGCACTTTCTGAGGACCTCTGAACCACCTTAGGATGCACACTCTGTGGGGGCCTTAGCCACACCTGGGACGGTGGCTCCAGGAACACGGGCTGCAGCCTGTGTACATGCTCAAGCCAGGGCTTGGGGTGTGACTTTGCAGAAAGGGAAGCTGTGTACCCACAGGAGTGGGTGACAAGGGCACAAGGACGCCATTCCTGACCCCCACACTCTTGGGTCACCTGACACTGAGGGGAAGAGCAGACAAGACCCTTTCCTAGGGCTCGGAAGTTGGGGCACGCGCTCCCACTCTGAGGGCCAGCAGACACTGGGTTTAGATGTTGTGGAACTCAGGGTGCAGGGTGGCTGGCCATGTGTTTTTCAGACAATCCTGCCACTTTTTTGCCAGGATAGTGGGTTTTAGGTGTTAATGCATATTCTTTAATGATAAAAGAGAAAAATATTTTGTAGATAGAGTTTGGGAATAGTTGGGTTATACGAAGTTAGTTTTTTTCACTGCAGGCCTTCTCAGGGCTTTTAAAATGCAAATGTGGAGCATTTGCGCAAAGCTGGTAGGTGCTGGCTGGGGAGGGGAGAGTGCCAGAGGTTTCTAACATACATGTGACTCTGGATTCAGGATCTCTCCTTGGAATTTAAGTTGCAGCCCAAGGGGATATCATGTCTCTTTGAGTCTAATGTATCACCTTTGCCATGGAGGAGAGGAGGTGGGTCGTAAGTGGGTAGGCCCCTGTGAGAAGGGGGCCTCGGCTCAGGTCTGTGCTAACAGTCCCCAGACCCGGGGTAGCTCTCACCACCTCTGTGATGGCCCTGAGTTAATGCCCAGGGCTCTGCCCAGCGTCCTCCACCTCCCTGGCCAGGGACATCATCTGAAGCCGTCATCTCAGGTACCATGAACCAAAATTGGGGAACCTGTTCTTTCACAGGGTACATGCTGCTCAGGATCTGAAATGCCCCAGCAGGTCCTTCCCTGACTGCTGGGGTGGCTGCCACGACTGGGGTCAGCTTCATCCTAAGGGTATCAGTGTCTGCACAAGGCTGGGGGTCAGGGGGCACTGGTGTGATTCTCCTCCTGGGGTGCAACAGGGGTTCAAGGTAGCGCTCAGAAACTGGCTGAAGCCACGGAAAGGGCCGCCGTGGGTTCTGTCCAACGTAGTTAAAAACATCTGACTGCAACCACAAAAATGCTGGCATCCGAGCCTGCTGCAAAAACATTTTCATGTCAAAGGCAAGCGCACTGGTGCCGTGAGGAGCTTGCACCGTTAACCCTTGAAAGGAGCGTGCGCAGAGTTGGCCTGTGGAGCAGAGCCGGGTGCAGGCTGGCGCCACAGGCCTGGGTCATGGGTCGGGCATGTGGACTAGGGTGAGGGTGGGTTCCCTCTGTCTCCTGGGGTCAGGAGTGCCACTGGGCTCTGTTGCCCTGAGACCTCCCTGTTGACCTCAAGCCCTGACACCCTCTGCGGACAGGGACCAAGGTTTTGGAGGGGACCTCCAGAGGCAGAGGGGCAGCCACTGCCCAGGGGTTGGGCTGTGGTCACAGACATGTATTTGTGCATTTGAGGAGCCCTGAACAGACACCTGTGTCTGTTCAGGGCTCAGACATCAGATGGAGATGTCTGAAATGGAGGGGGCAGGGGCTCAGGGAAGGCCTCCTGAGCAGGGGACTTTGGAAAGCATGAGCTGGGAGGAGCGTTCAGTGCAGGGAGTCCAGCCAGGGCAGTGGGCCTGAGGCGGGAGTGAGCCAGAATGTTCCAGGAGCAGCAAGTGCATTTCTCCCTTAATGAAACATCATGGTTAGCCCTTGAGTCAAAGGGTCCTATAGCCCCCTTTCTGCTGCCTCCAGCCCCTCATCATATGTGGTGTGGCTTCACCACAGGGTGGCTGTTTGCTCCCTCTGGATGACAGGCAGTCAGAGTCCAGCTTTTCACCACTCCTGGACAGCGATGACGCACAACCCAGAAGCCATTCTCAGTCCCAAGGGTGTTACTGCTCCAGGGCGGATTCTCAGAAGGAGATCACTGGACCACAGGGTGAGTGTGGTCTCACTTTCAGCAGCCTGACCATTTTCACAAAAGGCTCTTGAAATTCTCCCCCACGGCGCTGGAGGCCCCTCTCCCCAACATCGTCACCAGCACTGAGCTTGACTCCACTTTTTAGTCTTGGCCAACTTGCCCTTCAAGTCTCCCTCCCACAACCTGAATCTTTATCCACTTCACTCGCCTGTTTGTCTTTTCCACACTGCAGCAGGAACTCTCTGGTGGCCACTGACCCTTCAACCACAATGCCATGGTGAGTTTCCCAGGATGGGCAGAGGCGTGTGAGGTCTTGCCCCTGGCTACTGTCCTCTTCCTCAGGGACTTCTTGATCTCCCAAGCCCCGGCCGCCAGCCGTCCACATTCATCTAACGGAGCCCTCACCCAGGACTGTGTGCACACTTGGACTCCCCAGAGCCCTGCCCGCCTGCAAGGGAACATATCCAGCTGGCTGGTCCCCCAAGTCCCCTCCACCCTGACAGGTGTGCGGCGACTCAGCGGTGCTTAATTTTTCGGCACAGGCAGCTGTTAGATACAGCCTGGAGACCCCCTGAGCAACTTGCCTTGGGTGAGGGTGTGGCCTCAGAGCCTGGAGCTCTGGGGAGGCCAGCAGGAAGGGCTGGGGGCAGCTCCACCCAGTACCTCCAGGGCCCCCATCCTACTCCCGTGTCTGCTCCCACCCTCTCCTGAATAGTCTCCAGCCTCTTCCAATTGCCCCTCTGCCTGCATAGGGAGGGACTGGGGTCAGCCTGGGGCTGGGGGCGATGGTGCCTGCCCCCCTGCAACTCTACTGTCAGGCATCCTGGGTGCCTCATCTTTCTTGGGCTTGGCAACTACAACAGGACACCCTGTCCCCACTCTCAAAGGCTCTGGGATGGGGCACTGGAGTGGCGATCCTGAGCTGAGATCAGGTGTTTGGATCTACAGGAGGTGGGCTCCCAGGACCTCCTCCGACCCCACAGGGCCAGGAGAGGGTCCCCCGAACTCAGAACTACCCTGTGGGCCTCAGCATAGCTTCTTAGAACCCAGAGGTGCCCATGAGCTCCCTGACAAGCCCCCCACCAGAAAGCACAGAGGTCCAGTGGGGTCCCTGCTGTGGCACCCATAAGACCTATGTGGGCTCTAGTGGGGAGTGTGGATGCTGTGGTGGCAGCCTAGACACCCCCAAGGCCCCTAGAGAATAAAGGCTGCCCAGGTTCAAGCTGTGACCTGGCCACCCCAGACTTGGGACCCTCAGTGACACCCTGAGCATGGGGGTAATTTGGGGAGGGATTGGTACTGACCACATAAGGCTGTTGAGAGCACAGGAAGCACCCAGCATGGTGCTCAGCACGCAGCAGGTGCCTGGATGATGGTTGCTAGGACAACTCCTGCCCACAGTGCATGAGGCCGGGATGAGGAAAGCTGTGTGTGCAGAGCAGGCCTCAGAAGGGCATAGCGCTGGGGCCGTCTGCACAGGTGCTTTCTCTCCAGATCCCAGGCCAGGCTCCAGAGGCAGCTGGGTCAGCCTGACCAGGAAGCTCCAACAGTACCCTCTGATGAGCATGGAAGAGTCCAGAGTCAAGACCTAGGCCTTGGTAGGACAGCAGACTGGTCTGCCCAGCAGGCAGAGGCAGATGGAGCAGGAGGGGATGCCAGCCTCGAGGACTTGGAGGCACATGTATTTCTAAGGGAGACACCCTTGCTTGAGGTGCTTTAGCTACTCATCCAAGCCTGCTTGCTCCCTCTCCCTCCCTCCCTTACCTCCACCCTTCCTTCCTTCCTTCCTTCCTTCCTTCCTTCCTTGTCTCCTTCCATCCATCTACCCATCCACCTATCCATCATTTCTCAATCTACCCATCCACCTATCCATCATTTCTCCATCAGCTCACCCACCCAGCCGTCTCTTTATCCAGCCTTCCCTTCCCTCCATCTCCCCATCCATCCATTCATTCACCACTCATCCATCCATCCACCCACCCATCTCTTCATTTCCCCATCCATCCATCCACCCACCCACCATCCTTTTATTCAGCTCTCCTTCCCTCCATTTATCTATCCACCTCTTTATCCATTCATCCATCTCTCCACCCACCCACACACCCATCGATCCATCCATCCATCTATCCATCCATCCATCCATCCATCCCACCATCCATCCATCCTTTATTCAGCCCTCCTTCCCTCTATCTCTGCATTTATCCATCCACCTCTATCCATTCATGCATCTCTCCATCTACCCCCCCACTCAACCATCTATCCATCCATTCACCCACCTACCCATTCATCCATCCATTATCCACCCATCCCTTTATTCATCCCTCCTTCCCTCCATCTCTCCATTCATCCATCCACCTCTTTAACCATTCATCCATCTCTCCATCCACATACCCACACACCCATCCATCCATCATCCATCCATCCATCCATTTCTTTATTCAGCCCTCCTTCCCTCCATCTCTCTATTCATCCTTTCACCTCTTTATCCATTCATCTATCTCTTCATCCATCTAACCATCCATCCATCAACCATCCTTCCACGCATCCCTTTCTGCAACCCTCCCTCCCTGCAGCTCCCCGTCCATCTACCTACTCATCCGCCACTCACTCACACTCATTAATGCTCCCCACACCCCAGGCCTATGTGCCCGCCCTCATTCTTTCCACAAGCAGTGAGCAGCTGCCTCCTGTGTATCTTGCGGCAACAAGATCAAAAGGCACTGATGACGCAGTCACTGGCCTCCGGAGTGACAGCCCACCACCGACTAAAAATAGACCAGGATCAGCCGAGATGTTGGTCCTCCCCTCTGTTCCTTCTCTCATCCTTTGAGTCCCTGCCCCCTCGACAGAGGACATACTCCATGTGGCTGAATGGCTCCAGATCAAGGAGGGGACCATAGAGACAGGGGCTGGAGGTGTTGTCAGGACTTGGTGACCAGGCGCAGGGTTGAGGAAGGGGGAGAGTCATGAAAAGATGGCGGGGGAGGGGCATTTGCTCTAAGCACTGACGGGCAGGCGGGTTTGGGGGTGAAAAAGAGGTGCAGGTCTCCACCCCTGTGAGAGTGGGGAGCCCAGGTTCCCTGAATGGAGGTGCATGAGGACACAGGGCAGATGCCCTTGAATGAGCCCTGGGCATCAGAGGGCCTGCTGGCATCCTGAGGCCATCAGTGACCTCCATAAGCTACTCCAGGCACCTTGGGGCTGGGATGGAACTCCCTCCAGCTCTGCCAGCCCCTCAGTTTGACAGGTGACTCATGGTGCCAAGAGGAAGACAGGGCTCACAGTCTGTCGGGTTCTTCCTCTGTACCAGGCTCCGTTCTAGGCACAGGGTTCTCACAGGAGAGATGGTGCTGGCCAGCTCTGTCTTCTCAGAGCTTCTGTTCCAGCTGGAGAGCCAGGCCACAGCCTCCAGGCACAGGCACAGGCTGGGGCAGTAATGAGGGATTGGAGGCTGGGGCAGAGACCTGAGGCCATGAGGGGGCAGCTTTGCAGCCAGGAGAGGGCAGGTGCCAACAGCAGACTTCAGATGGTTTGAGGGCTGGCCATGGCACAACCCCAGGGTGCCACTCACACAGGCACAGAGGCCTTGAGGCGGAAGCCCCCAGGAGGCTGGGTGGAGTCAGGAAGGGGATGTTGCAAGGGCAGGCATGGGGCCCCGGGGGCGTGGGGCCTCGGGGGCGTGGGGCCCACGGCCATGGAAGGGTGCCTGGATTGCTTCCTAGGGAAGAGGGAGGCCATGGGGGGCTTGAGCAGGCAGTGCTGTGGTCTGGTTTATGTTTTAAAGTCCCTCTGGCTGCTGCATGGAGACAGGAATGTAGGGGGAGAGAGAAAGCCGGGAGCCCCTGGGGACGGGGCTGGCCCTCCTCTCCGGGAAGGAGCTCTGCCTTCATACATGCTGTTCCCGCCTCCCGGAAATGCCCTTCCGGCCCCGGCAGAGGCTGCAGTAGGAAGATCAGGGGCCACAGAGCCGGCCGGGCAGGCTGTGATGCAAATGTGTCCCCCATCATTTTCAACTGGAGCCCCCGAGCACTGCCAGGGTGGGGGAGGGAACGGAACCCTCCTCGGCGTCCCAGGTCTCAGGGAGGAAGGAGAGAAGGAAGCAGAGAGGGAGGGAAGGAGGGAAGGGGGAAAGAAGGAAGGAGAGAGAAGGAGGGAGGGGAGGACTTTGAGGAGGGACTCAGGCTTTTCATGTATGTGAGTTGACACATTTCCTTCTTAGACAAGTTTCAGGGGTGTTTCTGTTCCTTGAAACAGAAAGTTTGTGTGGGGACCAGCCGTCTGGGAGTGCATGGCCAAAGCTGGGGTCTGGGGGTCAGTGCAGGGAGCATGGGTGCCTGGGAGGCTTCCTGAGGAGGCGGCGGCTTAGAGAACCATGAGGGCTGGGCTGAGGGGTGGCCGGCGGTGCCAGGAGGACAGGAACGAGAGGCGGCACAGCCGGTGGGGCTGCGTGCCAGGGCGTGGGGTCTGCCTGGGGCAGGGCCTGAGCATGCCCCTGTGAGGACTGTCCCACTGTCATCCTGCGGCGGGCACTCGGGAGCTCAGGAAACTGTAGAACGGGAATGTGTTGCTCACTGAGCACCGTTTTCCAGGCTTGAGCCTGCAGGAAGCCTGGCTTTCGCCGGCCCCTCCTCTTTGGTGGTCTCCACCCATCCCAGCCACCGTTGCTCAGCTCCCAGGCCCACTGCTGCACCGTCTCCCACGCAGCCCCCCACACTGACCTCCTCCAGCCAGGGGTCTGCTGACCCTTGTGCTGCGCGCCCACTGGGACATCCCCATCCTGAATGTGCAGCCCTAGACCGCAGCCCAGAAGGAGGACGATCACAGAAGGTGGCTGCCAGCCACCCTGACGCTCGGCAAGGGCCCCGCCTGGGCTTGTCAGACCAAGCAGGGCCCTGTGTTCACCTTCTGTCCCCTCATGCGGCCTTTAGGGCAGTGAACCTCAAGAAGGTCTCCAGCGGCACAGACACAGGCACAGCCTCATGCGTGCAGGCCCATGGACTTGGCAGCCATTGCTCAAGTGACCCAGACACTGGCTCAGGAGAACGTTCTGCTGCCTTCACAAAGCACTGATAAGGGTGGAGGAGCTGTGTTTGCAGAGATGATTCCCCACCCCAGGAGGTCACAGGCTAGGACCAGTTGCGATAAGGGAAATCTGGGTTGTAACAGGGACAATGAGCCAGGGAAGCCGGACAGGGGTCGTGGGGACGGATTCCCACCAGGGGCTTCCTGGGGGAGGCTCCATTTGGATTGGGGTAGCTGTACAGGGGTGTGACAGGCTCCAGACAGGACACGGCACTGCGGAGGTGCACAGCCTGAGGGTGAAGGGACGCTAGGGTCCACGCCCACCCGGGTCTCGCCGGGGCTGTAAGGGTGCCAAGACTGGGCGGGGGTGAGTCTAAGCCATCTGCTGCTCTGAATGCCATGCTGGGAAGGCGGGAGTCCTTGTGGAGGCACACATCAGGCCCACAGCACCAAGACGATGGGAAGGGGCTGAGCATGAGGTCCATGTCCTGTCCCTCTGCCACAGCAGAGCGTCCTACAGGTGGGACTCCCGGCTGCCAGCCCTGTACCTCGAGCCCAAGCTCTCAGATGCAGCAGCCTCAGAGCTCTAACATATGGGGTTCCTCAGTGTAATGACAGGCACCTCCCCCAGTCATTGTCAACACATCCTAAATGCCAGCAGGCCCATCCATGCACAGATCCCGAGCAAACATTGAAAAACATTCAGAACATGAGAGAGAGGGGCCTGGCTGGCCAAACATAAACAGAAGATCAAGGAATTAAGCAGAACTTAAGATATAAGATGTATCTGGAGTCTCCAGAAAGATCCTAGGAGCTGTCGTGCCCATCAAATGAGGGCGGAATGCCATGACCACGGTCAGAGAGCAAGCGTGTGCTCTGGGATATTAAAAACAGGACTGCTAAAAACATTTCCTAGAACTCTGAAGAGATAAAGTTAAGAATATAATGCCATAAAAAAGGGGAAGAAAGTTGAGACATCAAAGTGTCATTAAAAATGTCTTCAGTCTGACTTAAAAGGAATTTCAGAAAGAGAGAACAGAGATGGTGGCCTCCATGATGAGAAATCATACAGAGACCTTTCCAGAGCTCAAGGACTAAAGTTTCCAAAGAGCCCACCAAGTGCCCAGAACAGTCAATGAACAAAGCCATCCACAGGGAACTTCTCTGGGAAATTGAAACCCCTGAGTCCAGATGGTAGATACTAAACATTTCCAGGAAGAAAAGAAAGGCCACTTACAAAAGTATGAGACTAAAGCAAGTATAAGACTTCTGAATAGTAAGTCTGGATGCTAGAAAACCATAGGACGAGGTCTTCAAAATTCTGAAGGAAAATTACATTCAGCTCCAAATTCTATACCCACTTAAACTATCAATAGGGCACCATGGTTGAATGAAGATATTTTCACCATGTAAGAACTTTGAATGCTTACCTTCCACACAGTTCTTATCAGTAAGGCCCCTGAGGCTTCCCCAGAAAACTGAAGAAATGAGCATTAAGCAGGTCTGAGTACCAGGGAACAGTAAACCCAATCTAGGATGGCCAGAAAAAAGGTCAGTTGCAGAATTATGCAAGGAAGGAGGGTTTGGGAGGAAAACACATCAATTAGAGACAGAGAGGGAAGAGCTCAGGGAAACATGGCTAGAACCAAAGGGGATTTGAGAGAAGGGCTCTGGCCTGGAGTGTTGAGCACGTGGTGGAGATGATAAAGGCCAACAGTGCACAGGAGGATAGCAGGGAAGCAGGCATGAGCCGTGGGGCCCTCTGGAGTCAGCGACCGAGGCAGAAACCCAACCAGTCAGGAGATGAGTCCAACTGGAAACGAAGAACTGAGAAGAGGTGTCTGTGGTGAGAGGACTATGGGGAGTCTGTTGCCACCTTCATACACAGCACCAAGACGAACAAACAGAGGGAAGCAGAGCCCCCAAGCTGTGCACAAGTATCACAAACCTGGACCAATGCCACGGTAACAACAACCCATAAATGAACACGTGCTGCACCAGGAGGCTGCGGGGGCGGGGTTGCAGCGTCGCTGGCTACCACACAAAGCTGAGAGAAGACCGCAAAAACCCACGATGAGTCCAGCGTCCCACATTTTATTTTCCTTAACCTGAAAGTGACATTTAGAAATGAATTTCTCTTTTGGTGAAGAAACATTTATCTGAATTCAGCAATTCCTTCTGTTTTACTTTGGTTTCTTCTTAAAAAAAGAAAAAAATCAACAATTCAAAAGCTGCAGGCATCCCTTGATTCCATATTTATATTTGCTTCTGATGGTGTGTCTGTCTGTCTGCCCACTCATTCATCTACTCACTCACACATCCATTGTCTGGCCACCCACCTACCCACCCACCTACCCACCCCTCCATCCATCCATTCCTCCATTCCTCCATTTATCCATCCCTCCTTCCCTCCCTCCCTCCATCTCTGCATCTATTTCTCTGTCTCTCCATGCATCCATATATCCATCCATCCTTCCATCTGTCCACCCATCTATTCACCCATCTACCCACCCATTGTCCATGTGTTCATCCATCCATCCATTTATCCCTCCCCTAATCCTCCATACAACAATCTGTCCATCCATTAATCTGCCCATGTATCTAACCATCCTTTTTCTATGCAACATACAGAGAAGCGTCTGGAATGCTGCTCTCCTCACACTAAGGATGGGTATTTCTAGGATAACAAGGGGTATCCTAGGGAAAGGGGGCATGGTCATGAAGGTATTTACCTTTCATTTCAGACCTTTCTGTACTGTTGGAATTTTCTAGAAATTCAAATAGAACCAAGATTATCAATCAATCAATCACTCAATCAACCAACCTACCTGAGGACTCCCATTTAAAAAATTAATGATAGTTCTCTGTGGAGATATTATGGTCCTCTTTTGTTTTCTTCTCTGCTCAGTTCTGCATCAGAGCCTATTAATAGCAACTCTGAATGCTATTTTCAAATGCCCCTCCCTCGGAGGTCTTCCCTGACCACCCCTGTTCCTCTCCGGCACAGTGCCCTGCTTTGCTCCTGCACAGTAATTTTCCTGGTCTGTAATTACATGGTATATTTTTGACCGGGGTAGCTCTGTGATGCCAGGACCGAGTTCTAGCCCATCCCCGTAACACCTCCATTATCTTCCACTGGGATATCGCAGGGGCTTGGTGGGTGCTGGGGGAGGGCTGGAAGGCGGGCCAGCCTGGATGGGTTCACCCTCAATGCCCTGGGCAGATGGCATCAGATCTTGGTCTGGTGCTTGGCAGTGGGCAGGGAAAATAAGCCCACAGGGTGCCCAAGTGGTGCCCACAGTGGTGTCCATGAGAGGGGCGGGAAGCAGCCGCCTTCACTTGCCACGTGCCGGGCACTGGGCCAGGTGCTCAGTGGGGAGGGCTCCAGGTACCACCGGCCCTGCCCCCAGAGAGACCGTTCCTGTCTCATCCTTACAGATGTGGAAACCGAGGCTCCAGGAGGCTGTGCAAGGTGCCCAAACTTGGCCTTCTCTACCGCTGCTTCCCTCATGCTGCAGCCAGGGCTTGTCAGGGGCAGCCTCAAGTTGGTGACCGGATTGGGGGCCAGGAGGCATGGTGGGCAGGGAAGGTGGCCACTGGAGTATCGTGATGGGGGAAAGAGGCAGAGAGAGGTCGGAAGAGGCCGGTAGGTGGGAGGAAGTCAGGGAGGAGAGTGCGGGAAAGGCAGGCAGCTCGGGTGGGTGGGGAGGAGGCTGAGGGAAGGGGGGCCCTGGAGGGGGTGGGGGTGCCCCTCGCCCGCCTGTGCCCACCGCCGGCTGTCCTGGCGCGGGTTGCGGAGGCACTGGGCGGGAAGGCCTGGTAGGCTGGGCCCGAGGAGGGCCCGGCCCGGGAGTGTTCCGAGGAGGGATTTATTAGTGAAACAAAAGCATATTTTTCAGCAGGACTGTTTGTTCAGTTACCTCATGACATCGCGCTGGCCCCGGGCCCGGAGTGGGGGGGCGAGGAGGCCCAGTGCAGCGACCGCGGGCGGCACAGTCCCGCTCTCCATGGAGGGTCCCCTCCCGGCCTTATCTGGTCCCGGACATCAAAGCGGGGGCTTTTCATAAGCGAATTAAAATAGCACACAAACAGCACAGGGCTGGGAAGACCCCGGGCCAATTAGCTTCCAGCAGAATAGGAGGCCTTTCAGAGCCGGCCACGTTCGAGGCGTCGCTGCGGCTTGTCAGGCTCGATGAAATATTTTGCCCAAAGCTCATTATAATAATGAACCTGCATTTCTTTCCTCAAGAGAATAATTAGCAGACTTCCAAACGGGCTAAAGCAGCCATTTAAACACTGCCCCTTCATCGTCCCATTTACTTCATTCTGTGACAAGGAAACACTGGCGCCTTCCGAAAGAGCCGAGACTCCCAGCACCCTCCCTGCACGGTCACAGACTGTGGGGCCTGCAGAGAGGGGCTACGCCCCAGCCCCAGGGACCCCGCCCAACCTGTCACCCCTCCCCATGCCCCCGCTGGTGCTGTCCCGGTGGTGCCGTCCCTCTCGGGCTGGCCTGAGAGTGGAGAAGCAGAGGCCTTTGTGTGTCACCGGAGCCAGCACGCAAGCCAGGCTTTTACTGTCTCTGGGGGCACGCTATTCTCTCAGGGCACAAGAGAGGGGCGGGGAGGGGTCAGGTGGGGGCCACCCTCAAGGGAAACCTGAGCCCGAACGTACTCCCGGGCAGTGGTCTGGTACAGCTGAGCCTCTGATGATGCCCACGGAGAGAATGAATGGGGATCCCCCAGGACAGGTGGAAGATGGAGCTGGGGGCTGAGCAGGTTAGAGAAGGGTTACCTGCAGCCTCCTCGGAAAGCAGACACGGCCCAGCTGCTCGGTGGGGAGCACAGACAGGTTACCTGGTGCCTAGCCACTGGCACAACCGGGGTAAGGAAGAGGCAAGCCTGCGTTACACAGCCCAAGGCGGGTCGCCTACCCTCCCACATGGCTGGCACCACAGACAAGGAAGCCAGGCTTCACTGGGCACAGTGGCCCATGTGGCCCCAGGCAGGCTGGGAAGGACAGACAAATTACGGAGGGGCTAGCGTCCTCAGCAGGGAAGTCCCCTTGCTGCCTCCCTGCGTACCTCCCTCCCTTCCTCTCTCCCTCCCCTCTCTTCTTCCTCACTCCACATTGATTGTTTACTCTTTTTCTGTTATGGAGGTAAGAACCACTTACGGGAGAAATTTTGAAAAATATGAAAAAATCTGTTTCAAAAACATATCTCTAAGTCCACCCTCCAGAGACACGTTTCCGGGCATTTTCTGTAAGGTGATGTTTTGGGCACCACCTCCCACCCCAGAAACTGGGACCATGTTTGTCTCCAGTAACCTTGTACATGGGGCATTTTCCTGGGTCACTGAGGGATGACTGAAAGCTGCATAATTGTCCCTAATGTGCATAACAAGAACCAACATCCCGCAAATGCTGCACATGCGGTCTGTTTCCAATTTCTCACTATTATAAATAAGGCTGTGATTAGCTTGTTTGTGCATAACTCTGATTTGTTCTTTAGGGAGAGAATCCTGGAAGGAGGATTATGAGGTCAAGGGGGGAGGAATGTTTTTTAATCCCCGTGATACGTGTCATCAGAGCGATTTCTGGAGCAGGGAACCGGCTCATACTTCCATTTCTCCTCGGCTTCCCCAGCACGGAAGACCACACAATTAGGTTCATTTCTGCATCTTGCGTCTCTTCACTGAAACTCTTAGAGCAAGGGCTAGCACGCTTTTCTCTAAAGGGCCAGAGAGTAAATCGTTCTGGCTTCGTTGGTCACACGATCTCTGTTACAACGACTCAACTCTGCCAAGGTGGTGTAAGGTTAGCCAGGGACGATGTGTCCACCGGTGGGCGTGGCTATGTGCTATTAAAACTTTATTTACAAAAACAGGCAGCGGGGCCAGATGAGGCCCCAAGTCCACCTTACAGGATGAGTGCAGTGAGGACCTTCAGATCCTTTTGTAAATTGTCTTTCTAGTTCTTTGCCTGCTTTCCTACTGCGGGGCGAGTGCTTTTCTCATAGATTTGAGTTTTCACTTGCAAAATGTCGTCCCTCTCCGTCGTCGGCTGCAGTTTTCTCCCCAGCTTGCTGTCTGGTAGCAGCTTTGGGCAGGCAGGGAGGGGCCCTGTGCAGCTGCAGCCTTTGCTCTCCCCAGCCAGGCTGGAGCTGGGGGAAAGGCTCTGTGACCTGGGTCCCCAGCGGCCTGTGAACCACCCCTGCGTCTTCTAGAGACAAAGCCCTTGCTTCCGGCTCTCAGCCTCATCTCCACGTCTGGCTCAGCCTGACCCGCTGACACACCAGAGGGCTTGTCCGGCAGCTGCCCATGGGCAGAAACTCAGGCCCGGGATGGCCAGACACTCTTCCTGGTTTTGTTTTCAAACTGCTTCATTTTTACCCCGGGGGCCTCATTGCCTGTGGAACTCTGCCGTCCCTGTCAGCATTGTATCTGACTGTGGTGCTGCCTCTCCCTGACCACATGTGTTGTCACATGTTCCGGTGACCTGAGCCAGGTGGCCTGGGACAAATCCCAGCTGGCAACTGTGGGCCCGTGCCTCAGTCTCCTCATACACAAAATGGGATGAACAGCAGCATCAGTTTCATGGTGGGGACACATATTTCCAGCAGCTCCAGACGCTGGGTGTGGGCGCAGGGGAAGGCCTTGGTGTCGCCTCCGTCTGCAAGGCTCATCCTGTGCCAAGGGCCAGGAGAGTGTGGAGAATGGTGGCTGCAGCTTCACGCTGGGCAGTGCAACCCCACTCGTTAGCTTTTGCCTTTAGAAATATCAGCTATTTTCACCTCTTTATGCTTCTATATGAGCCCTGGAACCACTCTGTCAAGTTAGAAATTTCAGTGATGCTCTCCACAAACCCACAGACAAAACTGGGGTGACACCCAGCCCTCTGAGGGGAGCAGCCGGCTCTGTTCCGGCCTCCATCCCTCCCTCCCCTCATCTCTCCCAGCACCGTCAATACAGCCTTGTTTCTGCCCAGGGCGGCGGGGTTCTAGTTCACAGATGGGCTTGACCAGGCGGCCTGCATTCAGATCTCAGCTCTACCACTGAGTTGGGTGACTTGGTGGCAGTGGAGTATTTTGTGCCTCAGTTTCCCTTCTGCAAAATGACGTTGCAGGAGGCCTGTGCTTGCTGATGTGCCGAGGCATTTGCAGGGCTCGGTGGAGAGCAGGCACGTGGCATGGGTGGTGTGGGAGCTGGTGCACAGCATGGGTGAACTGCAGTTGTTTCTGGCCCTGTGAATATTGCTGCCTCTGTATCTTCTAATGGGCTACTGGGCGCTGTAGAG
This sequence comes from Homo sapiens, assembly GCF_000001405.40. NCBI lineage: Eukaryota > Metazoa > Chordata > Mammalia > Primates > Hominidae > Homo > Homo sapiens. The sequence goes on along the minus strand of NT_187585.1, from coordinate 36,298 downwards.
AATCCAGTGGGTCCCTGCAGCACTTCCTAAGAAAATGCAGAAGGAGCTCCAGGCTCCTCCCCGTGTGGTTCACCCGCCATCCCGTCCTTTCCCCTCTGCCTTCGACTCCCCGATACCTTCCGCTGCAGTTGGGGCTGCGGCCACATGCTGGCCAAGGCTCTGTGTGAGCCGAGTGGGATCTGCCAGGTGGCTGGAGCAGGTGGCAGAGGCGGCCCCATCCAATGGCTGGTGTGGGGTGTCCTGAGTACCTGAGTGTGCATAAAAGCTGACCCTGGGGTCCATGGGCATAGCAGGGTGGGAGCTGGTGGGCCCGAGGTGGGGATGAGAGGGGAGGAGGGAAGTGGGGAGAGGATCAGGGAGTGCTTCTGAGAGGCCAGGAGAAAGAAGGGCACAGGAGCTCCCTGGCAAGTCTGGGCAGGCCACAGCCCTGGGCATTTGGGGGACAGGCTGGGGGTGGGCAGGCTGGGGCAGGCCGGGACCTGGAGATGGGGCTGCAGACGGTACAGGCCTAGGCTTGTGTCCCCAGTCCTGGCGGGCTCCACTGAAGCCCCATCACCCCCAGCTCTGCCAGTGCCTGCAGGGAGAAAGGGCGAGGTTTGGGAACAACTGGCTCCTGCTCCCCATCACACCACCTGGGTACCCCTAAAGCTCCTGGGAACACAGGTGCATTCTCCAGAGCCCAGAAGGCACCGTGGTCTGGAGGGAATATCATTCTACACACACCATGGGAACTCTGCCACATCCTCCAAGCCCCATCCCCACCTCGCCGAGTCCTGCCACCGTCCAGGCTGACCTGGGCCCCCAGGAAGCCCTTGCTGACTCCGGGGCCCTATTTTTTCCTGACTAGGGGCGAGTCCTTGGGAGGATGCTCCAGACAGTCCCAGGGTCTTCTGGCAAAGCCATGGCAGGTCCTCCAGCAAAGCCAGGGCGGTTCCTGGGTGCCCGTGGGGGGGGGGGCCCGGCTGGGTTTTCTGGGCTACCCTGAGCCCCTTGCTCACTCTGCCCCTCACCATTGACTCCCGTGGCCTTCCGGCTGATGGGCACTCCCATCCTGCCACCTTCCCTTCATGTCACCTCCTGCTCTGAGAGAGTGGCCAGGGCCAGCTCCTCTGGGTGGCGAAGTGGAGCTGAGGGGTTGCCCTGTGGTGGCCAGGGCACTGTCTAGCCCACCTCCCTGGCTGGCCGGTCTGGCCTTTGCAGGTAGCGCTGTAGGGTCTGCTGGGGCTGGGGGCTTCTGGACTCTGAGTGGGGAAATGCTCAGGGAACGTCCAAGGGTGGGTGGCCACTCAGCTTCCCCATTCCGGGACTGTGAGGTGAAGGGCTGGGAGCATGCAGTGGCTTCTCCCCTCTAGCTCGCAGTCTTCAGGAGACAACCCCGCCCTGCAAACGCCTCCTTCCTGGACCCAGCCCCTCTGTTCCCCAGTGAGTGTCATCTAGGGGTTTGACCGGGAGAATGAGCATCTGCTGGGCCTCTTGCCACTAAGCCTTGGGGTCTGGCCCTATACCCTGGGGACCCAGGAGGCACTAGGCTGGCTCCTGAGAGGCAGGGTGGCTGCCAGAGCCACGGTCCCCAGAGAGCAGAACTTTATGAGAGGGCACTGAGCCAAGGCCCCCAGCTCCTGGAGTCTCCAGGGGGCTTAATTAATAGACATTGGGCAGGCCCATGAAGGGCTGCCTGCGCCCGAGGATGGCACATTCCAGGGCAGGCTCCCCGCTGCCTCAGTGGCCCCCTTGGGATGACAGTTAATACTGGTGAGGGCTGGGAGGCTGTGCTGGTGGCCCCAGTGCTGCCGGCTGGCGACAGGGCCGGAGCCAGGGCTAAACCCCTGTCCTGCTGCCCTCAAAGCCAGCTCTGTCACTGTGAGGACAGAGGCGACAGCTCACAGACCAGGTGGGCTTCGCATTGTCAGAAGGCGGGTGTGGCTGAAGCTGGGCACCCTGTGGCCTCCCCCTGCCTGACCCCTGGAAAAGCGGAGTGGAGGGTGGATGGGCCCCAACACCCTCAGCACGTCCTGGGCCGGTGTGAGTCTGGGTGAATGTGCCCACCGCGCCCCGCTCCGCAGCTGGCGAAATCGCCTCCAGCCACAGAGAATACAAAGCTCCCCCAACACCCTACTGGAGGCAAAGACCCCAGACCCTGCTCTGGCTTTTTCTGTGCTTGGGCCTGCCCGGGGCTCCAGCCTTCTGAGGTCTGTGCTGCCAAGAAGAGCAAGGGAGGAGGCAGTGTTAACCCAGGGGCTGCGGGGACACCATCCCTGTCACTGCTGGTCTTCCCTGGCGCAGGCAGTGGGCGTGGCCCTGAGAGGCAAGGACACCCCCGCAACAAGCTCTCCCCTCCCTCACTTCCTGCCCTTCAGCATGCAGTGGGGGCATCTCCCCAGGCTCCAGTGGCCCGACGGAGGACTTGTGTTATGAACTGAACTGTGCCCTCCTAAATTCACATGTTGAAGCCCTAATCCCCAATGTGACTGTGTTTGGAGACGAGGCCTTTAGGAGGTGATAAATATTAAAGGAGACTGTGAAGGCAGGGCCTTGGTCCCATAGGACTCACGTCTTTGCAAGAGAAGGCGGCAGCACCAGGGATGTGTAAGCACAGAGGAAGGGCCCAGCCTATGAGCCAGGAAGAGGGCCCTCACCAGGAGCCGACCCTTCCACAACCTTGCTCTCGGACTTCCAGCCTCCAGAACTGTGAGGAATAAATTTCTCTCACCTAAGTCCCCTGGTCTGAAGCCTTTGCTGCTGAGCCAGCTGATACGACTGGCCAGCAGGAAGCTGGAGAGCTAGAGGGGACTGCAAGGGCAGGTGAGTGCCCGCCCCTACAGGCACAGGGCAGGGTCCGGCACCCCGAGTGGGTCAGAAGCCAGTCCACCTACAGACAGCTCCACGTGACAGCCATGGAGCCCAGTATCCTGTTGGAACTGGGGAGCCTCTAGGGGGCTGGTCTGTGCAAAGAGTGGACCCACTCCAAACCTGACTGCACTCTACCCTTCCACCATCTCTAGTCTGTCTGGGCCACCAGCACCCCAGGAGCCACTGCCTGGCCCTGCCCCAGCCCTGCACCCACCTCCATTGCTTCTGTCACCAGCTCTGGCACCTCCCATTACCAGTGTCCCCACCCTGGGCACACCTGGTCTCCTGCCTCCCCATGCCTTCTGGAACATTCTCTAGAATGGGCTCTGAGACCCTGTCCTCATGAGTGCCTGCCAGCCACACCTTCTCCTCCTGCCCCAGCGCCATCCTGTTCTCTGCTCTTACCATAGCTGAATTCTCCCATAACTTGGGGAATGGTGACGGCAGATGGTCACTGAGTGGACAGCACCTGCTCTTCTCCGTGCTCAATGGGGATCTCCTGAACCCCCGCAAGCATGTCCCCATTTTAGGGTTGAAGAAACTGAGTCACAGAGAGGCTATGTGTGGTGCCCAGATTTACACAATGATAAGCTGGGCGTTGGACCTTGGCATCAAAACCCTTTCCACTTCAAGCTTGGAACCTTCACGGCCACAGCTGCTCTGGCCCCCGGTTCTGTAAACGCCACCTCAATCCTGTGCGGGACCCAGGCCCCTTCCCCCACTCCCTGGGCCCTACACAGCCTCAGAGCAGGCAAAGTGGGGAGGGCTGCAGCTGGGAGTACCCAGGTTTGGGCCGAGGTGAGGCAAGTGGGGTGGGGAAGAAAGAGGCTACAAAGCTGGCAGGGGCTGGGAGTGGTTCCAAGGACAGCCCAGGGGTCTGGGCTCAGCTGCCTGCACTGAGGCGCTGGAAACCTCCTCTATAGCCTCTGCCCAGTAGGAAGCAGGAACGGCTGTCAGCCCCCTCTTTGCAGGGTTACCCTGCTGGGGGAGGCCTCTGTCCCTCCCACACCCTCAGGCCACTGGGATGGAGCAGGAAGTGGCTTTATTCCCTTCTTGAAGGTGGCGGGAAAGGATCCCAGATCTGTGACCTCCTGGCCTTTTGGGTGGGGCTGTGGGCTCTGGAGACAGGGCAGGGTCAGAGCCCTGGGAACTGTGGACGTCTGCATCTGCTCACAGCCCCCAGGTCCCAGCAGCCTTATCGGAGCCCTTGGCTGGGAGCCTGGAGACCTGAGGGTGGCTGAGCCGGCACCATGCTTCTACCCCACCCTTAGGCAGCTACCCAGGCCTCTCCGGACCTCAGTTCTGCATCTTCAAAATGGGGTCGCCCAGGTAGACATGAGGACTGACGGGCAGGCGTGGGACACTTGGAGCTCAGGAGGGCAGGCACCGAAAACACACACCCTCTGTGCTGTGACTGGAACCCCCCATGCAGCCTGCCGACTCATTTCCACTCTGTACAACTCTACTGAGAAGCTCCTCTAAATGTTCCCGATTCCAACCCAGAAATTCTGCTCCTGGCAAATCAAACACAAGGGAAAAATGCAGAGGAGGGTATTTGCTGTAACAGGATGGAGAACGGTGACTACCTGCAGACAGCACAGATGCTGCTCCCTGGACACCGAGTGCACGAGCCCCTTGGAACTTCCCTTTGGCTGTCTTGGATACAACATATACACACCACACTCACACACACAAACACCACACACACGATACATGCAGACACAACACACACCACACTCACACGTAGAAGACACACCACATACAACAAAACACACACACTGCCCTCACATACAAACACACCACACCACACATGCCAACACACACTGTGTCCAGGCATGCAAGCATGCTACACACCACACCACACACACACACACACACACACACACTCGAACTTACAGCTACAGAAGTTAAACATCACATTCCACTTCAGTCCATTCCAAAGAGCGCTGGTTGTCACCACAACAGTGACCTCCTGGCCCACCATGGATGGACAGCCACATGGAATCTGAGCACCACCGCCCCCGTGGTCCGGCCCCTGCCTGCCTCTGAGAGTTTCTCTCCTGCGCTGCTCTCTCACTCACTTTGATGCAGACACACTGGCTCCCTTTCTGTTCCAGGCACGTGCCTGTCCCAGGTCCTTTGCTTTGCCCCTCGCCAGCTGGTGTCCTCTTCCTAGTTACCCAAGGGAGCTGCTTTGTCCTCCTTTGAAGGTGCCTGTTTAGATTTCACCTGCCAGGTAAGTGCCGCCTGACCACCTGCATTCTTGTCTAATGTCCCCTTCCTCGTGGGTACCCTTCACGCGGGTACCCTCTGCTCTCCTTCCTCTTCTTCCTCTCCTTCCCCCGTCCTGTTCCTGCTCCTCCAGCCCCTTCCCCTGTCCCAAATTAGGCAAATGTACATGCATAGATCAACCCAGCCCTGAGCCACAGAGGCGAGAGTTCAAACAACGCGACCAATTTATAAACAATTTTCTCTGCTACGATTAAGTTACATTTTCCCCAATAGCTGCTTCATTTTCTTGTCAAAAATACACAGTTTTCACATTTGTCTCGCTGCAAGGGTAATTAATTTCCAGACCATAAGTAAGAACTTAATTTGATACCTGCAAGGATTATAAACTATTTCAAGCTGTTGTTTACACGAAATCAAGAAAATTCGTTCTGTTTGCAATTATGTTAATGAGGAAATAGAGTGGGTATTTTTTTTTTTTTTCAGGGAACTCGGCATAATTTTGCCATCACCAATGAATTAGTTTAAAAACGTCTGCTGCTGCTGCCGCAAACCCCTCTACAGCTGTTTTTGAGGTGACCCCAGTAAGGAGGCCCCCCAGACGGCTGAGGATCCCAAGGAAGGCTTTTGTGGGAACGGCTCAGATGACCATGGGCAGGTGAGTTCTGAGGACTGGGCACAACCCCAGGTGGTTGGCAACTAGCTAGGTCTGCAGGTGGGGCTGAGGAGTCTTCTTCAAGCCCTCCTGATGCCAAGCCGAAAGGTGACCAGGAGGGGAAGGGTGGTTGGGAACCCAGGGCGTGGACGGTCCAGCCCCTTCCTCTTGGACAGCCATTCCTGGGCCCTGGGCTGCCATGTGGGTTTGCACCATGCAGGCTTGCTTGGGCCTGGGCCACAAGTGGGGGCACTGAGGGTGGGAAAAGGGGCTGCTCTCAGGGTTGAGGAGAGACACCCCTAACTCAAGACTCAGTATTGTCCCAAGGCCGCTGTGGATGGCTGTGCAATTGGGTCCCCTGTGAGGGTGAGAGGGCTGAACTTGGCCTGGAAAGGGGCTGCATCTGCCCACCGCGGTGCCCTGGGTTGGCCATGACCCTGAGCAGCCTGGGCTGCCTGGGCCAACCTGGAGGCTGGCACAGTACGCAGGGCAGGTGCCCAAAGGGAAGAGGTATCCCCTGTGCCTGGGGGAACCGGCTGGCTTCACAGGATGGGACACTCAAGCTGGGTGCCGAAGGCCATGTGGTCAGGGTGAGGCAGGCTCCCAGGGGAGGGAGTGCAGGCACAAGCAGGGGGCTGTAAAAAGGTCCCGCACACCTGAGAAGGGGCAGAATGGAGGAAGTACGGGGCCCGGGGGAGGAGGAGGGGCCAGACTACACTGTAAAGGGCCCTGCTGCACAGAGAAGGCAAAGAACCTTCAAGACATACAAGAAGGCGGTCAGATGCTAGTGGGGAAAGGGCCCTCGAGCTCCGGAGCAAGGGTGGTGGGTACGCAGGGGCAGGTGGCCAGGAGGTGCAGGGCTGGTACAGCCACGGGAGTCTGCGGGGTTTTGGAAGGTCTGCTAGGAAGAGGCCAGCCCAGCCCGACCTTGATGACACAGCAGCTGGAGCTGGCATCGCTGAGAGCCCAAGGAAAGGTTGTCTTCAGCCTCCTGGCCCCGTCAGGCACACCTCTGGCTGCCCAGTGGGGGACGCACAGCATGAGGACTCATTCGCGATGTGACCGCTTGGTCTGCAGGCAGGTTGGGGCCCGTTCCTGGCTGGCTGTCTCTGGGGAGCTGGGAGCTGGGGGCTGGGGCCAGCGCTGCCCGGCCTCTCCGTGGCCCAGCCCCCAGCACTGTCCTCCTCTTCACAGGGCCTCCCCCCCGCCACCCCCCCAGGTCTGCCCGGAGCGGCCGGCATCGAGGCTCTGGGCCGAGTCCTCGTAAATCCTGGGGTGCTGGAGACAGCCCAGGTGAGGCCGTGAACAATGCCCCGTTGTGGCCCCGTGGGGACGGTTTGCCGCCACTTGCCACCAGCCCATACGTTGTAAAATCTCTCCCCACGGATCTAATTTCGCCTCTCTGGCCCTTGGGGGGTTAGGCCCGGGACAGGCACAGTCTCACTCCACACAGAAACCATTTACGGTCGGGATAAAGGCGGCCTTTATTGGCACCGAATGGCGAACGTTTCCCTGCCCCATCGTTTTCTCACCGCCACATCTGTCAGGTGGCGCAGGAGGGACGGCGCAGCAGTGGGGGCTTGTGTGGGGACAAGGACAGGCCGAGAGCCGCTGCCGCCGGGAAGAATGGCTCCCAGTCTCTGTCTTCCTGGGAAACCCACGAGGTCTTCCTGGGTCTGTCCACCGCCTGCACCTCAGTGGGCCCATTATCTTCAGGCCCAGCTCTGACGCAGGGAGACACGGCCCCGAGGGGCTGAGTGGGCAGGAACCTGGACACAGGCCCCTTCGGGGCACGTTTTCCTTCCCCATGGAGAGGGTGTGTCGGGGTGTGAGAGTGAGGAAATGAGGACTACTTCTCAGGCCCCATGATAGGCCTGGGTCGGCAGTGGGAGGCCTCGCCTGGTCTCGGGGTATAAAGGCTGAAGGTGGAAGGGTGCTGGGAAGATCCGGGAGAGGAAAGCGATGGGTGCTTCCTGCCACCCTGCCATCAATGCCCAGGGTCCTCCATGCTCCTCAGTTTGGGAGGAGCCGTGAGAACTGACGTGGCCGCCTTGGCCTTAGCCAGGCGGTGATCTCAAACAGAGCTTCATCAGCACTGTGGCTGCCATGGGGCAGCGTCACCTGGCAGGGGGCCAGGGGCCGTGCTGGCTTCTGGTGGGACATGGAATGATTTCAGGTGGTGTCCGAATAGTCCCTGTGTATTTTGGTATTTACATTTATGTTTTCATGCATGCCGGGAGGAAGTGCATTGCGCCATAAGCCAATGGTTTCACACGTGTCGGTTCTAGGCTGCTGCAGTAGAAGTACTTAACGGGCACCAAGCACGGTGGGTTCAAGAAAACGTCATCTAAGAAATGTCGGTGGCTCTCAGATGTGGAAAAACACAAAGGGTGTCCCTGTGTGAGTGGGGCAGGGGGCCAAAGGCCGGTCTCACCTGGGGAGGGGCCTCCATCTCCAAGCCCTGTGCAAGGGGTTGGCCACACTTACCCCCTGTTCCCCCGGCCCCCGCCCCATGGGACCCCTGCTTGTGGAGGCACTCAGGGGATGAGAGCTGGAGAGACTCCAGGGCAAGGAACCCGTGGGGTTCCTCATGGACCCGGGGAAAGGCAGGGTCCCGCCAAGTTTGTGGAGCAGAAAAATATTGTTTCTTGCAAAATGGCAGGGAAGAGTTGGCGGGATCTGTAGCTGGGGGCTGGGTGTCACCATGGCAACGGAAAGCCAGAAGCTGGCAGAATTAGGGGCGGGCTTCTGATTTCTAGGGATGCTGGCCAAACCCCAGGTGAGCCCCAGTGGGTGTGGGGTAGGGTGGTTTAGATCAGGGGCCTGCTCAAGCCAGGCTGGGTTGGGGGAAGCTCCGTGGGGCCCACTCTGGGCCCAAGCATGACTGTGTCTTTAGCAATTGCTCTGTGACTGGGTGTCAGTTTGGAGGAGGAGGAGCCCCTCGGCTCACAGCTCAGGCTCTTTTTGCTCCAGAACTTCACCTTTAGGGAAAGAGAGAAACGAAGTGGGATACACAAGACAGGTCACCTGAGACCCTGGGGCCCTGTCCGTGGCCTCCCCAGACATGGGTGCAGTGCCCCAACTGCAGGTCTGGCAGCAGCAGGGACTGCTCTGAGCTCCAGCCCGAGGCGAAGGCCTCCAGTTCATAGCCACCACTCCTACCTCATCCCTACAGCACCCGAGAGGTCGGGGGTAGGGGAGGCGAGATGCGGAGACTGACGCAGCGGAAGGTCAAGTGATGCCCTGGCTTCTTGGCTGCTGTGGGGTGGAGCTGAGTGGGACGTGGGAGGAGGTGGCGAGTTAGATGGGAAGACCCCTTGGACCCCCGCCAACCACAGGCAGAGGACCCTCTGAGTCATCAAACTCAGGTCTTGACTGTGCTGCCTGCTTGCCTTCCTCCCCGCACAGCTTCTGGGGGTGTGATGAGCTATACCCACTCTAGGCTGGGCCTGGTCTCTGTACATTGGTCCCCACTGGTGGCATCTTGCTTTCAAGAGACAAGGTAATCTGTGGACCTCCCGTCTTTCCCTCCGCTAGGGAGAGCAAACTTGGGAAGAACAGGTATGTGGTTCTGGGTGGTGGCTTCAGAGCTGAAGCTGAAAGTGGGAGATGGGGGCCAGAGGGGTCCTCCAGGCTCAGGCTCTCTTGCTGGGTCCAGTCCAGCCCAGCAGAACTTGTGCCTCCTCCAGGACACCCTCACCTGGGAAGGCGGTGTACTCCCTGACGCCCCTCCATGCGGCATCTGCTCCCCGCTAATCTGTGAACACACATGCATCACATCTTTGTGTCTTTAAGGTCCAGCATCTTTGGGGGCCCGGCTGGGCTCAGGGCTGAGTCACATGAGCCTGCTTCTCCCCTGTGCCGCCCCTGACCACGGCCTCCCCAAGGCTTCCCTCACTGCCTTCCCATCTCTCTCACTCCCCCATCTTCTTCCTCTTTTCTTTTCCACTTGATCTCTAAGCACTGGGGTTTTGGTTGCCTGCCAAGTCCAAATACAGCTCCAGACCCTCCTGACCCTCCTACCTCAGCACCCCTCCGAGCAAAGCATCCCCACGTGGGGGCTCACAGCAGAAGCTCGGGGTCCTTCTCCAACCTTTCTCCCCTCAGTCTGCTTGTTCTCATCGGTGGGGCTGGCAGACTGGGGGCTGGCCCCAAGGCCTCCACCCTAGTCCAAAGTGCTGATGCTCTCCCTCATCCCACAGCAGCCCCTCACCACTCCTGGAACTGCATCCTCACCTGCCTGTAACCCTCCTCCCACGAAGCCGGAGCCACCCCTGGATCCTTGGCCCGGCCGGGCCATCCCTCGCTCACCAGCTCTGCCTCACCTGCTCTCATGGCCTCAGGAGGATGTGCCCTCGTGCCCTAGGGCCTTTGCAAGGCTGCACACACTGGACACTCTTCCACCCTGTGTCACCCTCCTCCTCCTCACTCACTCCTGGTTGGCTCTGGGCTCCTGACTCCACTGACTGGGAAAACCGAGTACTTTCTCCTTCACACAGACAGATATGTAATTACGGGTCACTATGTGCGTCCCCCTGCCCAGCCATGGGGCTGTACATTCTAAGGAGCAGGGGCCAGCCCACCCTACTCACACTGCAGCCCCAGGCAGTGGCACAAGGTGAATGAATAAATGCCCACAGTGCTTCAGAAGGATTCCTTTGCTTTTTTCCTTTCTGCTCCTTGTGACTTCTGGTCCCTCCATCCCTCCAGAAGGGCCTCAGTTAAAAAAAAAATACTTCTTACTTTTATTTTTAGAGATAGGATCTCACTGTGTTGCCCAGGCTAGAGTGCAGTGGTGTGATCATGGCTCACTGCAGCCTTGAACTCCTGGGCTCAAGCGATTCTTCTAACTCAGCCTGCTGAGCAGCCGGGACCACAGGCACACACCATCACGCTTGGCTAATTTTTTATTTTTATTTTCATAGAGACAGGGTCTCGCTATGTTGCCCAGGGTGGTCGTGAACTCCTGGCCTCAAGCCATCCCCCCGTCTTGGCCTCCTAAAGAGCTGGGATTACAGGTGTGAGCCACTGTGCCCAGCCTCAGTTTTGAGGATATTCCTGGGTTCTGGAGAAAGCTCGGAGCCCTCACATGACCCTGCTAGTGCAATTTCCACCCGTTATTGGATATGGTCCCTCTCAGTAAGAGGGGCTATCACAGAGCCTTAGAACAAGAGCCCTTGTGTTTGTCGGGTGCACCCAGGCGGGCCCTGCCTGATGCCCATGAGGCTGAACCCATTTGTAGCCCAGCGAGGATGGGTGGCCAGGTAGCATGAGTCACCCAGGCATCAGCATCTCCTCAGCAGCTCCTGCCCTGACGGGGTGTTCACCCTGCTGGACAAGCATCCCTTTGCGGGCAGCAGACAGGCAGCCACCTTGCCGCCCACACAGATGGCTCTTGTGTGCCTGACCTGCGGCTCCCGGGGGGCGGGGAAGAGAGGGGGTGCTGTGCACTTTGACACCTATGTGGGGGACTGGGGGCAGGGAGGGGGCGAGGGGCAGGGGGCTGCGTGCTGGCCCCGCTGTCAGGCTCACCTTACTCGGCTAATCCTGAACGTGCAAGAACAATGCTGCCAAAGCCATGAGCTGGATCTCAGCCCTCCGGGGCCCCAAGCCCCCATCTCCTCTAATTGAGGCCTCACAGGGTGGTCTGCGCCCCCAGGCTCCCCCTTGTCCGTGGCTCTGGCCAGTGCCTCCTGCTGTTGCCAAGGTGGTCCAGGCACTGCCTCAGCCCGCACCCCACAACCGCTGTGCCCTCCGCCCAGAACGCTCTTCCTCTAGATATCCATAGGATGCGCTCCCTCACCCGCACAGACCTTTTCCTGGCAGCCCGCACACCCTGCAACCTCTTCTTGAAAGGCCTGGGTCTGACCTGAGGGAGAGAGTTTCTCTTGGGCAGAGGGAGGGGTCACGGCCCCGTCCCTCCTATCCACCTGGCGCTTTCCACCTTCCTGAGAGCAGAGGCCACTGTAAAAGGGACCGTGTGCTGGGGGTTTTCTGGGTGCTGGACTTGTGGGCACACACCCCATCCACTCCTGCCTGGTCCACACACTGGCTGCTGTTTCACAGACAAAGATCTGGCGGCCAGAGGGGCTCCAGGTTTGAGAAGGGCCCTCAAAGGAGCAGCCCCTTCCTATTGCTGCAGCGTCTTCCACACGTGGAGAGGGGTTCAGGCCCACGCTGCTCTGGGCCTGCAGGGCCACCCCCTGGAGGCCGCGGGAGTGCGGGAGGGGACGCCGGGCCTGCAGGGGTGGCGGAGGGACCCGGGAAGGCATGAATGGAAGCGCCGGACCAGGGCGGGAAGCAGCGGACGCGGAACGGGGTGGGGAGGGCTCAGGTTGCCAACCCAAACAGCCCAGCGCGCCTCGGCCCCGTGTTTAATCCACAAAAATTTCCATCTGCCTCTGGAGCACTCGGAACCCGGGCAACGAAAGGCTGTTCGCGCGGCAAAGTAAACACCGGCTCCGTGCAGGGACGGCCGTGCGCCGCGTCAGCCATTTTGTGGACGCCACCGTCCAAAGTGAGGCGGAAGCCCCCACCTGCGGGCTCGGAGCCAGGGCAGGAAGCCGGTCCCACCGCCCGGAGCGGCGCGGCGAGGACCTGGGCATCCACCTGCCGCCAGCGCCACCTCTGACCTGGGGCCAGAACCCGAGCCCGGGAGGCCCGGGCCCCCCACCCCCACCCGCAGCTGCCGCCAAGCCCCCGCACAACCTCGGGGTCCACACCTGACGGGGAGGGCCCGGGACGTGCTGGGCCTGTGCCGCCGGTTCGCCCCGTCCTTCCTTCCCCGCCCGCGGTTTCCCAGCCCAGCCGGCACGGCCAGGTCCCCTCCCCGGGAGGGAGGGGAGGCTCGGGTCGGGACATCTATTTTTGATGGTGACCAAGCCACTGCTTAATATGCAGAACCGGCTGGGGGCAGGCTGTGCCCTGACCCACGGGGTGACAAGTTTGAAAAGGGGCCCATTTTGACCAAAATACATGTTTTTCTGAGGTTGGCCAGGGCAGCCAGGCAGGGTTTGCCGCACAGACAAGGCTCCGCACCGCCCTCACGCCCTGGCCCCTGCAGGCGGCCAGCCCAGCCGGACTCCCGCAATTGATGCTGTCGATTATAGATCCGCACACGGTGCCCAGTGAGGGCTCGGCCGCTGCGGGCTCCGGCCACCGTCCTGCTCGGGCACCTGACACGCCCCTGCCGCCTGCTGTCCTATCCCAGCCTCTCTCTGAAGCAGTTGCACTCACAGAAGTTGACACACACTTGAGCTGAATTTTTAAAAAGACTTAAATTTCCTCTCTGGCCAATATTGGAGGCCTATAAATAGAGTCATTCAGGAGAGGCTTGAGGGTGGCAACTGTCCCCCACAGGCAGGCTAAGAGAGAAACACCCCAAGAAAGAGAGACGCTAGTGTGGGGAAAAGAACAGTTCTTGGGGGATTGCTGAGGGTAAGAGAAGCAGGAAGCCGCTGGATAGCTGGGGAAAGCAAGACCTGGATTCAGGAGGCCTGGCCAGGGCCACGTAGTAGGGTTGAGGCGGAACTTGAACTTGCAGAGAGACCCCTGATGCCATCCTCATGCTCACACCCTCTGAGCTCTGCCATCAGCCAAGCAGGCCTCCTGGGCCAGGAGCTTGTGACACTGCCCACGCCACAGGGCCTTTGCACGCGAGCGATCGGCATAATGGTGCCTGTCCCCTCCACTGGGGGCCAGGAGGCTGAGGCGCTGAGAGCCCACGTGACTCGCCGAGTCTCACAGCCATCGCGTGTAGGGGGCAGAGCTTGCACCCCAGCCACTGGCTCCAAAGGCGTGAGAGGAGGTCAGGCTTTTGCCCTGTGTGGGATGGGAAGGGGGGATGGGAAAGGGGTCTGTGTGTGGCCCTGTGTGCACAGCTGGATGCTGGGTGTGGATGGGCCACACCTGGATGAGGACCCTGAGTGATGAGCCCCTCCTATGGGGTTCAGGGTCCCATGGGTAACCAAGAGTGACAAAGTGAGACTGCACCTGCAGGATGGGGCTTGGCCCGGCTGTCTCAGTAGGTGCTGGGCCAGGCTAGGGCACTGCTGCCAGGGCTGTCCAGAGCAGTAGAACCAGAGGCAATGCCAGCTCCTGGTGTCACCGAGTGGGGACAGTGTAGACAACCCCAGCAGAGGAGGACGGGAGCCACATCAGACAGGCTTCTCCTCTGAGCTGGGCACTCTCCACGGTCCCATCACCCAGTGGCAGTTAGTGGGGGCTGTCTCTGTGGCAGGTTGAGGGTCATTTGGGCTCATGGTATGGCAGAGGGTCATTGGGATATGATCTGGGGGTCATGACCTGGTGGTCAAAGGGATATGATCCCCTCCAAGTCCCAGGGCAGGGCTGGAATCTGCAGCTGACAAGTGCCCTTTGCCAGCCTCTGGCAACCTCATGGCAACCTATCCGAGGATGGGTGGCACAGAGAGGAGCCTCTGAGTGGGGAGGACCTCACAGGATGTTAGGATTGGGGGTGGTCCTCCCAGGGGAGACCAGAGGACCAAGGTGGGACCTTGTTTCTGAGGTTCCCTTTCCCATCACACTCACCTCCACGTGACATCACTTTACTGGGGGGAAAAAGAAACACCTCGAAATGAGCACACCAACTACCTGGCGCATCTCAATCTTGGACAAAGCGAGAACTCATGGTGGATCTCAGAGCCAAGCCCACGGTGGTCCCAGTGCCCAGGAGCTGGGCCTGGGAAGGGGGAGGCCGACGGCCCCAGCATCCCGGAGCGCAGCTGTCCCCTGGCCTCCCTTCCCAGCTGCGTCCTGGGTGCTGTGGCTGCACAGAGATGCGATCACGTTCCTTGGCAACTTTGGTTTCTTACTGAGCAACACATCAATAATATCCCTCCCGAGCAATGACTGCCGGCAAAAGCTCGTCTGTGGCGGGCACTGGGGCTGCGGCGTCGAGGTGTCTCAGTATATACCACGCTTCTCTATGGACAAACAGATGGCTTTGAGCTTGTCACATGACAAAGCTTGCATGCAAAGCCCGACCCTGGTGCTTTTCTTTCCTAGGAGTGATGACGGGTTTCTAGTTTTCACAGGCAGTGCTAGAGTCCCTTCCAGGAGTTGTTACTTTCATTAATTCCCACCTCCTAGTAAGACAGAAGAGCGTCTGCTCTTCCGCACCCATGCCAGCACAGGGTATCATCATTTCCTTACATTTTGACTTTAGGGGTGTGCATTCCCCTGGCCACTGGTGGGTCCACTGTCTTTCCAAAGAAGGTGCTGGGCAGAGCTGGGCTGCGGTTCAGAGGTGCCTGCTGAGCCTGGTTCCAGGGGTGGCCTTTGGGGGTAGCCTGAAGTTGGGGGAGGGTACGGGGCCTCGGTCCCTGGCCAGGCAAGCCATGATGGCTGTGAGAATGCCAGGTCTGAAGACCTCCCACCTCAGGCTCCCTGGGAGCAGACTCAACCTGGCCCCAGGGGCCTCCTGCAAGCCTCCCCGGAGCTTGCTGGGCACAGGGACTCCCTGGCAGACACACCCACCCCTGTGCAGGAACAGGGTGGCGGTGCTCAGCGTCAAACGCTGCTTTCATTATAGGTTTATCTTTGGAACCCCAGACAAAACAGGGCTTGTGTGGTTTGACTGAAGGGCAGCCCCTCCGGACTCCGCCATCCACTAAGACGGCTCCTCAGGAAAGAAAAAATACACTAACCTTAAAATAACCAGTTCCCAGAATAGCAAACTAATGACGGCTTCTAAAGGGAGCCCTTTGATCAGTCAGAGCCCCCGCCTTTGCCTATTTACGGCCCTGTCACTCAAGAGCAGCCCAGCAGCAGAGAGAGGAGTGTTGGGTTGGGTGTGGGGGGCGGGGGGTGGTGCAGAGGGGAGGGGGAGCTGCCGAGGAGAGGCAGGTCTGGGGCTGCCAGGGCAGTCCAGGCTGCCTAACTTTCTGATGCAACCAGCCCTTCAGTGGCAAGGTGCTCCCTGGCCTCTGGGACAGCCTGGAAGTGTGTCCTGCCTGCACCGACACACACTTCTCACAGTCTGCTGAGCAGCACCTTCCAGTTGCGAAGCTACGCCAGGGAACAGACCTGGCTGCAGAGAACCGGAAAAGAACCAGAATCCCAAGCGGACATTCCTTAGGGACCTCGGGGAGGCGTGGGTCATGAGCTCTGGGGACTCGAGGCAGGGGAACTTGGGGAGGATGCTGTGGAGAAGGAGCCCAGGAGGGGTCTGCAGGGATGCATCTCTGTTGGGGGCATGGGGTGGAGAGGGGCGCTGGGGCCATGAGATGGCAACTACTGGAGTGTGCTCTCCCGTATGGTCCCTGCCATCCACATTCACCACATTCTATGGGCACTCACTGAGCATTTCCTTGGGGCTGGCCTGGGTAAACGTTGGGGGAGCCACACTCACCTCCCCACACGCGCGCACGGCCATGCCCGTCCAAAGCAGCGCTGTCCCATAGCTGAATCTGTGTGGCACAGCACTTAAAAAAGTGGTGACTGAGATCCAGGAATGGAATTTTCATTTTAATAAATTAAAATTAAAATTTAAAGATAGATCCTTCATTCGGTTATTAGAAAACCCTTCAGTATGTTTGAAATGACTTAGGCATGGGAATCTCCTTTTTCAATGGTAAATTTTATGAAATCTAAATACAGACCAAGTCGTTCTCATGAAAACTCGGTGTCTAAATTGAAATGTGTAAAATATGCAGTGGCTTTTGAAGACCCAGTATGAAAAAGAAGAATGTCAACAATTTTAAGAGTTTTAAAAATATTAATTATATATTGAAATGATATTTTGGATCTATTGGGTTAAATAAAATATATTATTGTAATCAATTTTACTTATTTCTTTTAAATTAAAAAAGTGGCTATTAGAAAATTTAAAATGATATCTGTGGCTAGCATGGATGAGCTGACCAGGAAGTAAGGGAGGTTAGAGGCTGAAAACTCAGTGAAAGTGGAACCCCAGAGGTAATAGGGGCCCTGAAGGTATTTGATGAGTGAGATGAACTTGAGCTTTGGTTTCACCAGGAATAGATGATTATGTGTCAAAGCCCAGGCCTGCCCCAGGAAGTCTCATAGCAGAGACTTACACAAAGCTGGGACCCTCAAAGGGCTCTGCTTTCATTGTGAGGGCCAATGAAAAATCTCCTACTCCCTGAGAAGATTGTAAAGAAAACTGCATTACTGCTAAGAGAAGGAGAACAAGTTCTGTCCTGGAAAGTCATGTTCACAAGTTAGTCCATGCTCAGCTTGGAGGCTTGAATTCATACTACCTAAGTGGCCTAGAAAACTTTGAGCCTAGAATTAAAAGTCCAGGCTGGCAGTACACCCACATATGTGGCAATGGAAGGGGTAAACATGATTCCTCCCTGAGGACCCCAACTTCACACCAGACTTCAAAAATTCCCACAGATAAATTTTAAGATATATAAGTTTACAATGAAAAAAAAAAAAAAAACAGAAACGAAATGAAACACCATGAATGAGAGTCAGCAGAAGAAAAAATCAAACAGGGAGGTGAACTCAGAAATACTTTAGATACTGGAATTAAGAGAAGCTCAATATAGAATAGCCATATTTAATACACTTCAAGAAAATTTTAAAGTTTGAACAGGCAAGTAAAGAGGAAGATACGATTAAAATGACTTATCAGATATGAATAAGAACCCAACAGAACTTTTATAAATAAAATAATAATAATTGAAGTTTAAAATTCACTGAACAGTTTTAACAGCAGATTAAACACAGTCAAAGAAACAACTAGTGAACTGGAAGATGGATTCCAGAATACAGTACAGAGAGACAAAGTGATTTAAAAAAAAAAAAGGTTAAGAGATATGAAGGGGAGTGAGGTGGTCTACTACTGGCCAATAAAAATTTCAGAAGGAGATAATGAGACTGAAGTGAAATCTTACGAAGTATTAACTGAGAATAATCTAGAACTGATGAAAGACACCAAACCACTGAGTAAGGTAGCTCAGGCAGAAAAAAAGAAACCTATTAACATATCCTAGTGAAAATGCAGACTAGAGTCAAAGGAAAGATCTTAAAGGCAGCCAGAGAAAAAAGACAGATTGTCTTCCAAGGAGCAACAATTCATCATCTTCATTCTCAACGGTAACAGTGGAAGCCAAAGGATAGTTCAATAACATTTTTAATGTGCTAAGAAAAAAGAATTTTGATAACCTAAGGCCTATAATTTTATAATTGGTGGAAATATTTTTTAACATGACAGTAAAATGGTCATTTGCGGACAAAATCTGAGAGTTTTTCACTGAAGAAAATTTAAATGAATCCCTCAGTCACATAAAAAGGTAATCCCAGATGTAAGATCTGAGATAAAAAAGAAATAACAAATGACAAAGAGGCAAATGGGTGAGTAAATTTAAACAAATATTGATTGTATAAAACACTACCAATTAGTGAGTTAAAAATTAAACACAGTTCAACTAAAATATACAACAGCAAAGTACTAAGTCAGGGGGAGAATAATTGAAGTTAAAGTGTTCTAGGATCCCTATTTTATTACAGATATGGGTAGATATAGCAATTACTTCTGATATATATTCATTTAAAATGTTCTAGGTTAACCTTTCCAAGGATGGTAGTAGAATACATAACTTCAAAACCAGTAGAGAGAAAAGTAGAATGAGAAGTAATAATCTAATGAGAGGCAAGAAAGAGGAGAAAAATAAATATTACAGATTTAGTACAAGTGGAAAGCACAAAATACACTGCTAGAATTCAATCCAAATCTATTAGAAATTATATTAAATATAAATGTATTAAATATAAATGTATTAAATGATTTTTTAAAAACTCAGTAATACAGTGTTTACAAAAGACAAACCTGAAATCCTACGGTTGTAGGATTAAAAAGAAAAGGATTTAAAAATCTGACATCAAAGTCAGAAAAGAAAACCACACCAGTATCCTTTATGAATATAAAGTACATTCTTTTTTTTTTCTTTCAATCAGCTTTCCTAGGTTGAAGACACAAACATTCTTAACAAAATATTAGCAAACCAAATCCAGCATCATATAAAAAGGATTATATATCATGCCCAGGTAGGATATATTCCAGAAATGTGAGATTGGTTTAACACCTGAAAATTAATGTATTATACCAAATCAGTAGAATAAGGAATAAAAACCACAGGACCATCTCACTAGACACAGAAAGAGCATTTGACAAAATCCAATATCCATTCATAATGAGAGCTCTCAACACACTAAAAATAGAAGGAAATATTCTCAACATGATAAAAGGCATCTATGGAAAACTCAGAGCTAATGGAAATTGATTGAATGATTTTCCCCAGAAGATCTGCTCTAGCACTTCTAGTCAATATTTTTTTTGAAGTTCAAGCCAGTGCAATTAGGCAAAACAAAGAAATTAAAGGCATCTGACTGGAAAGAAGTAAAAATTGTCTTTATTGCCACAAGACATGATCCTATATGTAGAAAATCTTAAGAAATCAATAGCAACAACAAAAATGGCTAAAGCCAAGAATAGAAAAGTCAGTTTACAAGATTGATATAAAAATTTAATGTTACTTCTATATACTAGTAATGAACAATTAATTCAAAATGAAATTAAGAAAACAATTCCATTAACACTAGCATGACAAATAAAATATTTAGGAGTAAATGTAACAAAAGAAGTACCAAATTTATATGCCCCAAACTGCAAAATATCACTGAAAGAAATTAAAGTAGATCAAATAAATGGAGGGATATACCATGTTCATTGATTACAATACTCAATTTTGTTAAGTTGTCAATTTTCCCCAAATGGATCTATAGATTCAACACAATGCCTATCAAAATCCCAGCAGGCCCTTCTTTTTTAATTGACAGGTTGAACCTAAAATTTATATGGAAATTCATAGGACTTAGAATAGACAGAAACAATTTGTAAAAAGATGAACAAAATTAGAAAACTTACATAATTTAATTTTAAAACTTACTGTAAACCTACAATAATCAAGACAGTATAGTATGGGTTTACAGAAAGGCATATAGACTTACAGAAAGGCATATAGACCAACATAATAGAATTGAAAATCCAGAAATAAACCTATAAATTTATGGTCAATTGATTTTTGACCAAGAAGCCATGATAATTCAAAGGAGGAAATGGGGTATTTTCAACAAATGTTCTGGGGCAATTGGATATCCATAAGTAAGAATAAAACAAAACAAATCTAGACTTTACTTCATATCATACCCCAAAATTACCTCAAAGTAAATATAGACCGAAATGTAAGAGCTAATTCTATACAACTTCTAGAAGGAAAAAAACCCAAAACAAAACAGGAGAAAATGTTTATGGCTTTGGATTAGGCAGAGTTCTTAGATAAAACATCAAAAGCCTGAGCCATATAAGAAAAGACAAATTGGACTTCATTAAAATTAAAAACTTTTGTGATTTAAAAGATGTGATTAAGGAAATGAAAAGACAGCCACAGAATGGGAGAAAATATTTGCAAGTCATAGATCTGATAAAGGACTTGTATCCAGAACATATAAAAAACCCTTGCAACTCAATAATAGAACAGACTACTTAATTAGAAAATGGGCAAGAGAGTTGAATAAACATTTCACCAAAGAAGACTATGAATGGCTAATAAGCACATGAAAAGTGGCTCAACATCATTAGTCATTAGGGAAATGCAAATCAAAACCACAATGAGATACCATTACATACTCACTAAAAGGGCTAAAATAGAAAAGACCATGTATTTGCAAGGCTGTGGAGAAAGTGGAACCTTTATACTTTACTGGTGAGAAAGCAAAATGGTATAAATCCTTTGGAAACAGTTTAGAAGTTTCTTAGAAAGTTAAACAGAAATTTGCCCTATGCCTTCTCAGTAATAATAGATCAAGCAGATAAAAACATTCCAATGAGAATATAGAAGATTTGAACAGACCAACTAACAAGCTTGTTCCAGTGGATATGAACATAACACTGCACCCAACAATGTCAGAATATACCTTGTTTTCAAGTACAGAAGGCACATTTACAAAAATTGACCACATTTTTGCCGTAAATCATATTTCAAAACATTCTAAAGGATTAATATCATATGGATTGCTTTCTCTGACAAGAGGGCAACATTATGAGAAAGCTGTGCTACAATTATAACAATGACAAAAACCACATTGCTACAGAACTCCTAGGATAAACAAGAGATCATAATGGAGATTAGAAAAATACTAAAGTGAATGAAGATTAAAATTAAATGCCATATATCAAAATGTGGGAGATGTAGTTTGGATGATATTTAAAGGAAAAATTTATAACCTTAAATGCATACCTTAAAAATTTAGAAAGCCATGAGATTGACAGTGGTTAGAAAAATTAAAACGAAAAGGAAATTTAGGAAGCCTGAAAATTAAGAATTATCCTCTTCTTAATTTAGAGAGGTTAGAGAAAGAACAGTATATTAAGGCCAAGTAAATAGAAGGAATAAAATAAACAGAAGTGAATGAAACAAAACAAAATCACAATAGAGAGGATCAGCAAAGCCAGAAGTCCACGAAACATTTAATAAGACAGGGGAATAGTGTCAAGTTTGACCACTAAGGGGGAAAACAGTGAAGGCACAAATAAATAATATTGAGAATAAAAAATGGGACTAAATGCTAATGGACGGACATTAAAATTATAATAAATGCCAATGAACATGGAAACTAAAATGAAATGTATAAATTCCTAGAATATATAACTTATCAAAACTGATACAAGAAGAAATAGAAAACCTGAACAGTCCATAATTATTAGAGCGATTGAATCAGGAATGATGAATCTTCCCACAAAGAAAACACCAGGCCTAGATGTCTTTACCTTTAAATTCCACCAAACATTTGAGGAAAATAAAATTCTAATCTTATACAAAATATCCCAATATAGGAAAAGAGGGAACACTTCTTAAGTTAGTCTGTGAGGCTCACATACATTTGACACCAAAGCCTGATGAAGACCATACAAGACAGGAAAATTATGTCATGTATGTATCTCACACATAAATACTGGCACAAAAATTCTGATATATTAAATATTAGTAAGTGAGATTTCAGCAGTGTTTAAGAAATAATATACAATGTGAAGGATTGGTGGGTGTGAGGAGAGGCCGGAGACCGCATATATGGCTGGAAAAATAATCCAAGTAAGAGATGATAAAGGCCTGAACTCAGCAGGGGTTGGGCTAAAGGGAGAGGATGAACAGCAGCACGGCGGCTCTGGGGGTGCAGCTCGGGGAACTGCCCAAGACAAAAAAGCCTTGGGGTCCAGCTTGTGGCCTGGTTGATGGAGGAGTCACACTGGAATGAGGGAAAGGGTAGCAGTGTCTGGGGGCAAACACCCAATTCTGGGAGGCTGGGCCTGCCTGCATCCTGGAGGTTGGGGTCATGCACGAAGCTTGGTAAAGGCATGGGCAGGGTGTGGTTTTGGGAGTCCTGGGTTGGGGGGCATTCTCATCCTGGAGGCCTGGATTCTGCGACCGGAGGCAGTGAAAGGAGTGTCAGGTGGTGGGGGCCCCTTCCCGCCCAACGCTTTCTGAACTGCGGCATGGAAACCCAGGACTCCCCTGTGTCCGGCTCTCAGCCATGAACATTTCCGGCAAAAACAGAGAAGAAAGAAACTCTCCCAGCCCACTGTGCTCCTCATATCAGCAAAAGCAGTATGAGCTTAGCTTGCAAAATAAACAGGGCCCAACGTAAACAGTGTGGCAGGTCCTGGAGACCAAGCTAAGAATACTTGCTGGGGGAGGAGGGCTGGAGCGGCCTCTGCCATCGATTCCTCAGAATGTCTGGGGTATGCAGCCCCCACACAGACTGCCAGCCCTGTGTGGGACTTCAGGAAGCCCAGTGGGGCCAGAGGGGGAGTGGGCAGGGCCAGCTCTCTCCGGACCTCTCCCGACCGCCTGCATTGGTCCCTGGCCCACACTGAAGGCCCTGGGCCCTGCTGCTGGTGCCCCCAGCCTGCCCCTGGCCTCAACCCTCCTCAGCCTCTCCATACGGACTTTGGGTGATATGAAACCCCTCCTTGCTCTCTCTACCTCATCTCCCACCCCTGTCTGTGTCCTCCTTGGGACCAGCTCTTCACCTAACTAGCTGTGTGACCTCAGGCGACCACTCAGCCTCTCTGAGCCTCGGTTTCCCCATCTGTAAAAGAGGATTTATGTGGGCATTTGAGCAAATAAGAGTCCTCTCCAGGATAAAGAAGACAATAATCTAAGATGAAAACAGAAAGGGCATGAGGCAGCTTTTGTGACTTTTGACCCTAAGGACACAAGCAGGAGTCAAACCCTCTCATTTGACAGGGGAGGGAGGCCCGCAGGAAGTAGACTCGCTGTGAGGAGGCCCCTGGATCTGCGGGTGTGGGTGGGTTTCTGCTCTCCACACCCTGGAGTGAGGCAGAACCTAAGCCACCAGGACAGGCACAGGGGTGGAAGGGATCCCTGGAATGGGGACGTCCTGCAAGGTAGTTGGGAGGTCTGTGTTGGAGCAGACACTGCACTGTCAAGCAAGAGTTTTGACGAGCCCGCAGGACTGTGACGAGAAGGGAGACCCCCAGACCCCTCTCTCCAATGTGGGTCCCTGGCCAGGACACCAAGGAAGAAGAGGGCTCCCTGCCAGGGAAACTGAGGCAGCCCTGAACAAGCTCAGCTGGCCTGCACTGGTGAACTCCCTGCAGGGGGACACTCTAGGCCTCCCTGGAGGGGTGCCAGCCAGCTGTGCATCCCGGAGACCTCTCATCCTATGGCTAGGCAAGCTGGCCTGGGGTGGGACTCACTGCACAGCCCAGCTGAGGGGCTGAGCTGAGCTGAGAAAACAGTTGGAGGCTGGGGCCTTGACTCCCTTCCGGCAGGCAGCCAGACCAGCGGGATGAGGTGGGGGAGGGTGCTGGTAGGGAAGGCCAGGGGCTCTGGCTGGGGTTGGCAGGGCCGGCGGGCATTGGCACCGCTGCACGCCTGCTGGGCCTCCGAGGGCCGGGCGGCTGCTGGATTTCCTGCCCCTACTTCCCGAAGTCAGCAGGATTGCGCTTGGGGTATTTACGGTCCCGATGGCTGCACTGATAACGGAGAAAACTCGAGCCAGGCTGTGCCACCAAGCCCTCCAGGCCCAGCCAGGCCCTTTCCTAGGGTCTGTCCCTGAGGGGTGCACCAGTCAGTGGCAGGGCAAGGACCGGGTAGGCTACCACCTACCCACCTAGGTCAGCACAGCTCTGTCAACTCCTTGATGGGCAGCCAGGTTCCAGGTAGACCCCTCAGCGGGGCTGAGATTTAGTGTCGACTGTGGGTGCCACTCACCACCTCAGAGACCCCAGGCAGAGGACTCGAATGTAATGGCAGGGAGCCAGGGCCCACCAGGGCTGTGCATGCAGAATCTACCAGAATCCTCGTGGCCCCGGCTCAGAGCCTGACAGGGCACCAGGATGTGGCCCCAGCCTTGTTCTTAAACCTTGCCCTAGGGATCAGGGACTCCGGAAAATGCTTCCCTTTGTTGCTCAGATGTGAAGAAATTGGGTGCATAATTTTGTGCCTTCAAGGCCAGCGCTGGCCCCTCTGCAGGCCCCCACACCGACCTTGGCTGACTGAGGACTGTGTCCTTGTTCCCAGGCCCCAGCAGGCTGCTGGACGGCTGCTGTGCACGTCAGGAAGGGGCCATTGCACTTCAGGAGGCCCTGTCTGCCACCCACCATCACCCCCGCAGGATGCCAGACTCCAGGTCTGGGCTTAGAGGGTGGCCTGTCCCATGGAGCAGGGGCAGAGCCGTAAGAAAGGTCTGGGACAGTAGTGTAGGCAATGGAACCAGAGCTTGGCAGGGAGTGGCGGGGAAAGGCGGGGGCTGTCCCCAGCCTGTGCTGTCCAGAAAGGGCCACCGACACTCCTGCACGTCAGGGATGTTCACGCCCCGCCTGCCTGGCTGCAGCCGAGATGGAAGCAGGAGTGGAGGCTGGGGAACTGGGTGCCACTCCCTGTCTCTACCACGGCTTTCCTTGATGTCTAGAAACTCCTGGCCATGCCAACAACACAGGGTACCCGGCCCTGCTGTACTGGGTGTGCCAGCCAGGAGTCACCCAGCCCTTGCGCAAAGAGAAAGCCAGGGAAACACCGTGTTCCCCGGGCAGCAGAGAGGCCAAGGCTTCTGGGCCTCTGAGCTTGCCAATCCTGTGAGCTGACCTCTCCCGGGTCTTGCTTCCTGTCCTGCCAGATGGGCGCTATCTCCCACTGGGCCATCTGCCTGGCAAAGGTCTGCACCAGCCCTGCTCAGGTCTGTGCTGACAGAGGGTGGCCAGGCCCATGGGACTCAGGGTACTGTGGTCACACAGCCCCATGGGGCCAGGCACCTGAACACCAGCCTTCGCTCTTTCTGCATGACCCAATTTGCTGGTCTCAGGGCCCCACGGCCGCCCCAGGCCATGGGCAGATGGTGCCAGGTGGGGAGAGGGTGACGCTGCAGGTCCTGGGGGCCAGGACGGGTGGGGCAGGAGCAGGAGCCTGGGCCGGGCTGTGCCTGCCCCGCCTGCCCGGCTGCAGCCGAGATGGAAGCAGGCCAGAGCCAGGCGTTGCCAGGGAAACCGGGCGGCAGACGCACTCCCTGCCCAACTGAAACTCCTCTATTTTTAGCCTCTCAGCTACTTTCAGATAAAGTCCATGTAGACGGACTTGCTGTTCGGCAAGATAACAGCCCGCTTCAAACCACAGAGACTTCAAAGGGCAGTGGTGGGCTCAGCCATGGGCCCGAGAAAGGCCCTCCCACCGCCCAGATCCCCCGGCAGCTCCCAGGGTGCCTGGGGGAGAGGCTCCGGCCTGAGGGACCGAGTGATGGGCACAGAGCCTGGTGGGGAGTGGGGGCCTGGTGGGTTCGGGGTGAACAGAAGATGCCTCTCTTCCCATGAACCCATCCCAGCTGGGCCCTGCACCTCCCTGAGCCCTCGGCCGGCCCCAAGTGGAGGCCCCAGACAGCTGGGCCCAGGAGAAGGCTGGGATGTGAGGCCAGCTTCTGCCACCCTCCACTCAGGACACAGCCAGGAGGCTCGCAGAGCACAAAGCAGACTACGAGAGGCAGCGGGAAAGAGCTGGGGGGAGGGGGCACTTGGTGCCACCTGCCAGTAAAGACGCCACTTGTCAGAGGATGAGAAACCAGCCTGGCCTGGCTCCTTCCATGGGGGACCAATGCCCCGCCAGGTGGGCAGTGGGCCTGGGCCCCTCTTGGGAGTTGCTGGGCAGGCTGCAGTAGGCACTGGCGGGAAGGTGGGGAGGCCTGCAGGAGCTTCACGTTCACACGCAGACCACAGGGAGGTGCCTGCTGGCCCCAGGACGCTAACCAGAACCACCGCAGGCCGGCGCGTGAGCCTACCTTGTCTTCTACTCGGTTCAGGCGGGCGCCGATCGTGTTGCTGCCGCGATCCTTGCTCTTTTCTATGGGGGATAAAACACCCAAATCAGGGCCAAGTGCTGGGGTGGGCCGGGGACCCCAGCTGGGCTTGGGAAGTGGGGTGGTAGGGCTGGGGGAGGTAGCTGAGAGTCAAAATGCCTAAACCTACTAGGACATTTTTAAAAAGCATGCTATGACAAAAATACCAGGGGTGGTACGGTGGCCGGGCATGGCTGCAGCTGGGGACCTGGGCTCCATCCTGCTCCACGCTCTCCACCTCTGACCTCTGAGAGCCCTAGGGGGCTGCCTAAGCTGGCCACACTGCCAGCTGTGCAAGCCCATGCCATTCCACTCCCAGGGCGACACAGGCCTGACTCCAGGCTGGGGGCACAGCCATTCCGCTGCTCCGTTACACCAGCCCACACTATGAGCCGTGGCTGCTGTTTGCATCTGGGCTAGGGAAACCCCAGGGAATGTGCCTTTTCCCTGTCATTCCCCGGAATGACTCACAGCCCCGTGTCCAGGGGACCCAAGGAATTTGGTCAAGGAGCCAGAAAACCAGCCCCCAGGCTGCAGCCAGGTGCTTCTGTCCCTCTCAACTTGAGCCCTGCAAGGCCCCCACCCATAGTCTCTTGAATTCTGGGCTGGCAGCTCACCCCACCCAAACCCCACCCCAGGATCACCCCCTTCTGCAAAGTTGCCCTGGGTTCATGTTTCCACACCTAGAGCCTAACCTCAACGCCCTGGAATTTAAAGGGACCCAGGTAGGTTCTTATGAAACCTGAATATTCCTTTGTAAAATGTACTTTGGAGCCACTTTGCTAAGGGTGGGGTCTACCTCCCCTTACTCCCTGGCTTTCATTTCATGTCATGCACTTTGGAGGTGCAATGGCCCATTCTGACATCATGGGGAGAGCCAGGAGGGCAGAGGTGCGGGAGAGTCCATTGCAGGCTGCTGGGCCCAGAGTAACTGACACAGAAACCCACCTGAGACGGAGATGAACAGTGAGGGCTTCCCAATGGACTGGTCCAGCCTGGAGAGAAGGACACAGACACCAGTTCACACCTGGCCCTGGCACTGCGCAGATGCACTGTCGTCTGTGGGACAGACAGCTTGACGTGCCCGGCAAGACAGTGGACTGTCCACCCACTCTGGGGACACCCCCGACCCTAAGGCCTGCCAGGTCACTCCCAACCCCCCAGAGGGCCATGCTCCCGAGGGGGCTGAGCAGGGATCTCGGAAAGGGGGAGTCGGTGGGCTGCCTCTCAGACTTCCTCCCTGGGGGTAGGAGTGGGAGGCAGTGGATCAGCCATGGGCAAGGCAGCCTGACCCCTCGCCTGTGGCCAGGATGGACACGGGCTCCCAGCCATGCCCTGTAACACACGGAGCTAGTTCCCAGGCGAGCCCATCTCGGAGGCACAGCTGCTCTGAGTCTGTGCAGGCCCGGGAGGATGGTGCTAGCTCCATGGGAACACATTAGCTCCCCACAGTCAGGGTCTCCAGCTCCAGGCCAGTCTGGGGGAGACCCGTGCGGTGGGGCCTGGCACCAGGCAGTGTCTTCCCAGGGCTGGGCCTGGCCCCTTGCTCAGAGGTGACAGGGAAGGCGGGTGGGCTGGCTGCCGAGTGTCCTGAAGTTGTGGGGAGTGTGAAGCTGGTGTTGCTACCTGAGCAGGGACGGAGGCGGGTGTTTGCCTCCCCTACGCGCCTCCCCTACCCCAATTCCCCCATCATCTCAGATCCGGGCGGGGAACAAGGTAGAGCTGCCTGGTGGGCTGGCTGTGAACCGTGGCCGTGGCCAGCTGCCCTCCCTCTGCAGGGCTGGGGGTGGTGAGGAGAAGGGGGTGGTTGAGAGGCAAGAACTCAGGGTCTCAGCCCCTCCCTCCTCCGGCACCGCTGATCATGCAGCTGGGGCCGGGCTGGGCAGGACCTGGGCACCCTCCCCGCTGCCGTTTGGCCGTGCCCACCTCCTCTGCAGCTCCTTGATGCGCACCATGAGGTTGAGGTGGCCCTGCGAGTACTGCTCAATGACGTCCCGCACATCGTAAGGCTTCCGCGCTTGCTGCGGGACAAAAAGACACGCATCACTTCTCCTCCCTGTGCCCCAGCCATGTGGCTCAAAGTGCAGGCAGTGACAGTGTCTGCCCTCGGGAGGCTTGTGAAGACCTGGGAGCTCGCCTATGTGGTGATGGCATAAGCCTGGTTCCAAGCGTGCACAGTAGCGAAGCTTGTCCCCATCAGCTTGGCCATGGGTCTCTGGGTAGTCCTGGGCCATCAGCTCGGCCTCTCTGGGTCCCAGCTTCCTGTCTACTCACCGGCAGGGGCCTGCTGTCTCCTCCCTTCCACCCCCCACCACCCCAGGCTACCAGTTCTGGTTCTCAATGGCTTCAGGAAGAGCTGGCCCCCCCAAGGGGTCAAGGAGCAGCACAGTGCCAGGCACTGACCAGGAGGCACAGCTCTGCATGCCCACTACCTACCTGGGCCCCAGACTGACCCTTGACATGCTCACTGGCTGCAGCCGCCACTGTCCTCAGGGTAGGGAGCGGGTCTCCTCTGCATCGTTCCTGGCAGTTTGTGCCAGGCAGCAGGGGTGGCCCCAGATGACGGCCTTAGCCTGCAGCACTTGCTGTGGGTGACGAGCATCTGCTTGGGCTCCCACAGTGGGGCTGGGGCCATGTGAGGCAGGGCAGGGGACCCCAGGGCTCCCAGGCTTGTTGCCAGCTCTAAGCCTATAAGTGGGACTCAGGTGACATCTTGAAACCACAACAGAGAAAACAAAGCATCTCATGATATCAGGAAACCCCAAGCCACATTTGTGGCCTTGCTCCCAAGGGCCTCACTCAGGTGGAGCAGCCAGGCTGAGCAGGGGTTTGATGGCCTAGGAAGGCCTTGGCCCTGCAGGCAAGCCAGCACATAGGACAACAGACTGCCTCTATCCCGAGAGGCCACTGGGTGACCGGGTGAGGCCCAGGGTAGTCATCATTAGTGCTCAAATAGCCACCTTAGCACTGAGCTAGTGGCTTTCCTGCCTTTTGCTGGGGAATTTGCAAGGCCCAAGAGACGAGCCAAGCGGCTTGGTGGGGAGGGGTGGGGCAGGGCCAGCCCAAGTCAGAGGGAGGCAATTGAGGCCCAGGATGAGAAAGGAGGAAGCTCAGGTACCGTTGAGGGCCCGGGCTGGGTCTGGGAACATGCCCTCCCTGCCCACCTGCTACCTCTCTTTGGGGTCCTACTCCTGAGACCAGGGTGACCTTAATCTGAGGATGCAGCCACTTCTACCCTGGGAAGCAGCAAGTTCCCAGATGGGGAGACCCTGAGGTCAGGTCTCCATGTACCCACTTTCAGCTCTAGACACACTTCTGACATGCCCAGGGGTTCTGCCACCAATGCCGGAGGCTTGGTGGAGTTCTTACAGCCCGCCCAACATTGTTTTGGACCCCAGGAATCCCAAGACAGGGCAGAGACCTCCTCCCTACCAAAGGCTGGGCCTCAGAAGTTCAGGGGGTTCCTCTTCCACCTGACACAAGCAGGTAGGGCCCTCACTGGCAACACTAGCCACTCTCTGGGCCCTGAACGGGAGATCCTGAGATCAGGAGGGCTGGGATGGGGCCCGTGTCCTCACAACACAGCTGTGCCCCATGGAAGGAAGGGCCTGCTGCTCCTGGGGCCACACTGGGCACCAGGATCGCCGGCATTGCCCAGAAATGACACACCAAGAACTGTGATAGAGGCAGGCATGGGGTTGGACTCTAGGCAGACCCTCTGGCCCGTAAAAACCGTACTTATGTACAGGCTAGTAATAACATCCTCAGGTCTCAGTTTCTCCTGTAATATGGGAATGCTAAGTCCTTCTTCTCTCTTCTGTAAGATAAAATGCTGAGCCCTGTCTCTCTCTTCCGTAAAAGGGGATGCTGAGCCCTGTTTCTCCTTCCTATAAGATGGAGATACTGAGTTCTCTTCTATGAAATGGGATGTTGAGTCTTAATTCTCTTTTCTGTAAGATGGGATGCTGAACCCTGTCTCTGTCTTCTATAAGATGGGATGCTGAGCCTTGATTCCCCCTTCTGTAATATGGGATGCTGAACCCTGTCTCTCTCTTCTTTAAGATGGGATGCTGAGCCTCAATCCTCCCCTTCTGTAAGGTGGGTTGCTGAGCCCTGTTAGCATCTGGTAGCATCTCTTGTACCTGGTAGCATCTCCTGTAAGATGGAGATGCTAAGCTCCCTTCTGTAAGATGGAATGCTGAGCCTTGATTCTCCTTTCTGTAAGATGGGATATTGAGCCCTGATCCTCCCTTTTGGAAGATGGGACACTGAGCCCTGTTTCTCCCTCCTGTAAGATGGAGATACTGAGCTCCTTTCTGTAAGATGGAATACTGAGCCTTGATCTTCCTTTCTGTAAGATGGGATGCTGAGCCCTGATCCCCCCTTTTGGAAGATGGGATGTTTCTCCTTCCTATAGGATGAAAATGCTGAGCTCCCTTCTGTAAGATGGGATGCTGAGCCCTGATCCTCCTTTCTGTAAGATGGGATGCTGAGCCCTGATCCTCCTTTCTGTAAGATGGGATGCTGAGCCCTGTTGGTATCTTCTATAAGATGGGATGCCGAGCCTTGATCCTCCTTTCTGTAAGATTGGACGCTGAGCCCTGTCTCTCTCTTCTATAAGATGGGATGCTAAGCCTTGATCCTCCTTTCTGTAAGATGAGTTGCTGAGCTCTGTTTCTCCTTTCTGTATAATGGAGATTCTAAGCTCCTTTCTGCAAGATGGGATGCTGAGCCCTGCCTCTCTCTTCTATAAGATGGGATACTGAGCCTTGATCTTCCTTTCTGTAGGACGGGTTGTTGAACTCTGTTTCTCCCTTCCGTATGTCCCTTCTGTATGATGGAGATTCTACGCTCTCTTCTCTAAGATGGGATGCTGAGCACTGCCTTGCTCTGCCTTAAGGGAGGGAGTGAGGATGACATAGGATGGGAGTTGAGAAAGGTCAGGGAATCCTAAGCCAGCACCATGCCAGAGCCAGAGTCACAGCCAGCTGTGGCCGAAGCCTCTCTTCAGAACACATTGAACATGGCATGAGTCATGGTGGTGAGCCTCCTGCAGACCACAGAGCTCTGTGAAGCTGAAGCATGGGGCACCTCCAGCCATCTGGGTGCGGTGTGGGCAGGTGAAGGGAGGCAGGGCAGGGGAAAACCAAGCCCTAGGAGTCTCTGGGCCACTGTGACCAGGTGGGTGTAGGTGTGTGTGTTAGCAGCCTCTGCAGATGCGAGTGCTTCCAAACAGGCCTGTTGTGGGCAAGGAAGTATTATGTACCTGAGTGTGTGCACGTCTGCAGGAGCAGGGCTGGGTGGGCCTATCAGCAGAGAGCTCCCTGCACCTTCAGCCACAGCCTTACCTGGTGTAGGGCATAGCCCAAGAAGGCTCAGCAATGCCCGCAGACCATGAGGACCCACGGCCCGGTGGCATCCCAGCCCACAGAGACTTATCCTGGAGCCACTGAGATGCCTGCTAGGATACGGTTAGGGCTCACGGGGGCCTTTGTCCAGTGGTCCTCTGGGGTTGGGCTGGAAAGATCATCCTGACTTCAGGAGCCTGAGATGAGCCGAGATAATGCAGGCCTGTCCAGACTGACTGATGGTGGACAGGGAGTTCAAGGCACACTTGAAGGGTGGAGAGGCTCCGGCTCCTTGGGCCAGACACAGGGGTGGTTGGCCAAGGACTTATCAGCCAGCAAGGTAGGCAGAGGGGTCACCTGCCATGTCAGCAGCCCCTGAGGCCAGCGGGGGTGGGGTGGGGTGCAAGCAAGCAGACAGGCAGGCGTCGAGGAAGGGAAGCATCCTGAGAGGTGGGCTAGGGGAGCCCCTGGAGCCACACACAGCTCCTCACTGCCACGGGCTACTGCTCCCCTCACCCTGGCCCCACCCCTCCATGCTGCTCCCAGCAATAAGAGCCAGCTGGTGAGGTCGGAGGGAGCCCCAGCGGCTTTGTGCAGGAGCCTCTGTGCCCTGCGAGGATCCTGCTGTTGCCAGGTTTCTGCAAGGCTCCCAGGGCCAGGGAGCAGTGGAGAAGCAGACAGTGGGGTGGGGGTTTCCCAGTCTGCTTCAGGAAGCCTCCTGGGCCATTCTCAGGGTCCCGGCCTGTGTCCTAAGACAGGAAAGGGGACCCACTCCCTCCTGTCTGGAAGGGAGTGCAGGGCTCACTGTGTTCCTCCCCAGGGACCAGCTTTTTCACCTGTGGCTCAGCGACAGGGCCTGCTGGGGCTGGCGCAGATGATCTCTCTCTCTCTCTCTGTCCCTCTCCCTCTCTCTCTTTTTGTATTTGTTAATTGCTTATTTACCAAGAGAAACCATTTCTTGGCCCATATATTCATGTTTCACAGTTCAGGAACACAGGTCACTGACAAGCTTCTAGGTAATTCAACCCAAAGAAATTCTTTATATTCCAAAATCACTTTGCACTCTGAAAGATGCCAGCCTTCCTCATCACCTCAAAATCTTTGACGGCATCATAATATCTGTAGAAATCGTGTGCTTTTTTTCTTGGTTCAGCCACATCAAACTTACAGAGAGCTGCAACTCCCAGGTATTCAACGAATGCTCCAACAACATGAAATTGCAGACGCTTGGCCAGGAGGCTACGCATCTGAGGTTTCACCACAAGACTGGAAGCCATGGTAGTTATTATCACGATGGGATATCCTTGATATCAACCTCAATGCCAGTGTCCTTCCTGGCTGATGGAGAAAGGGATGGCTGGATGATCTCTTGACCTGAGCTGGAAGCTGCCCACACCACCCCTGGAGCTAGGCCTGCCCAGGAGCCATCAGGGTCTGCATGCTCTGCTGGGTTCCCCCAGACCTTGGAAGCAGCCCCCAGGATGCCCAAGTGGCGCAGTTCTGCAAGCCTTGGTGGGCTCTGGCTCTGCCCTGCTGGGACCTGCTCTGCACCCTCAGGCCAGACACCAGCCCCACCCTGGGAGGCTCCCTGTGTCCCTCTGCTCTACTGCTGGGGTGACGTCAGCTGCTTCGGCTGTCACGACCATGCTGTTCTCCAGCGAACTGACACACCCTGGCCCTTCCCATGGTCTCCTCTGCCCTCGGGGGACTGCCCTGCCCAGATCTGAGTCCCAAAGGGGTTCACGCAGCCCCTTCCCTGTCTGGGAGAGCACTGGTGCTGCCAGGAGGCTGGCCTCTCTCTTCCATTGCCCCCGAGTGAGCTCCCTGCTCCAGCAAGGCCCTCCATGCCAGCACCAGAGAGAGGAGACGGTCCCAGAATGGAGACACCCTGGTCCACAGGGGCTGTCAGATCTCCCCTAGAACATGCCAGGCAGATCTCCGGGCACTGGCCAGCAGTGGCATTTGCCATGGCTTTTATTTTGACTGCAAGAGGTCCCAGGCACTGCTGGGAGCTTTGACACAACTTGGTTCAGTTGAGTCATGAACCACCCCCTTCCCTGGGGGGATGCAGGTGGGAGGGCCAGCTGAGAAACACCACTGTGGGAGGGCTGTGCATGCGAAACCCCCCTGGAGATGGTGGCCCGGTGGCCAGAACGAGGGCCCGCATACTGCTCTTGGCAAGGGCCTGGCCGAGGGCTGCTCTTGGGGCTCAGAGTGACGACGAGCCTAGCGGGTGCTGGCCTGGGGTTGCTGGGGGCAAGGCCCGGGTGAGGCACGTGCATATGATCTTATGCCAAACCCTTAGGCTCTCATTCCCCTCACAGCTGGGGAAGAACTTGCCCAGGGCTGCCTGTGCCAGGGTCTGCACCCAGACCGCCCTGTGAAGTCTGGAGGCTGAGGTGGCTCCAGGGCCCAGATGGGTGGGGGCTCCACCAAGGAGACTGTGGGCGGGCCTGTGTCAATCCTGGGGCCTGGAGTGGAAGGTGTGGCCTGGTGTGAAAGACATGGCTGCAGGGGGACCAGACTTGAATGCCACTGTCAGTCCGTCTGGATGGGCTGTGCATTATCTTGGCTCATCTCAGGCTCCTGAAGTCAAGATGATCTTCCCAGCCCGACCCAACGACCTCTTGACAAAGGCCCCCATAAGCCCTGACCAGACCCTAGCAGGGAGCTCAGTGGCTCCAGGATAAGTCTTGGTGGGCTGGGATGCCACCGACTGTGGGTCCTGGTGGTCGGCGGACATTGCTGAGCCTTCCTGGGCTGTGCCTTATGACTGGTGAGGCTGTGGCTGAGGTGCCAGGGGCCCCCAGCTCAGAAGCCCCACCCTGCCCTGCTCCTGCAGACACGCACTCACTCAAGCACGTCACACGCCCCCCGCTCCAAGGGACTCAGGCAAGTCACCCCCCAGCCTTCCCTGCTTTGTGATTTTTGCCTTCTGGATCACCCACCACAGAGGATACGGGGTTCCCACACCTACACATGTATTTCCAAGCCAGGACTCAGTACCCCCCACCACCGCCTTCATCCGAGGAATGTCCCCAAGGCAGGAGGGGAGACATGCCTGCCATCAATGGCATTCTCTGCGGGGCATGGACTCTGGGGGCTCTAAGGGGCTTCTGTAGGGGGGACATGCCCCTGGAGAAGTTAGGGCAGCTTATGGAAGCCCTGGAGCTCCAGCCTCACCTGGCCAAGGGGACCCCACCTCTTACAGAGCAGGGCCCAGCCTCCCTCCATCCTCCCAACTCACAGAGGGTGGAGGAGCAGGGAATGAGAGCACTGAGCCAGTGGAGGACAGGGCTGGGGGGTCTGGGGGACCTGCCTTCCCAGCTTGGTGACTCAGGGCAGGCTCCGCACCATCTCTGAGTCATTCTGATGTCACCCTCACATCTCTCACTAATGCTGCCTTGCACGACCCACCCCACGGGAGGACTGAGTGAGCTACACGGCTGCTGCCTTCTACTTGGTGAAGAAGACACTGCATGTGTCCCTGGTTCCAGGCCGGGCCTCCAAGGATAGGTCCTCTGAGGGGCCTGCTGTCTGGGGTTCGGTGGGGTAGGCACTGTCAGGTCTCAGATAGGCCTGCCTGTGTGGCTTGGGGGCGGAGGCCTTGACACCCTCCACTATGGGCAGGAGAGAACCCAGGAGAGGTGTGGGCAGCTGCATCAGGCTGCGAGGGGCAGGCTGAGGGCAGGAAGGCTCAGCACAGGGCTTACCTGGAATTTCTTCTTGGCCACAAAGTACTGCATGCGTCGAATGACCTTAATGGTGGCCCGATGGTGTTCCCGCAGCCTGCAGTGGAGAGAGGAGAGGAGATTGTGAGTGGCCACCCTGTGCTGGTCATCCCCTCACTGCCCCTGCACTGCCTGAGGAGCACGCAGACTGGATCCTTCCAGAAACAAGGAGAGTGTTCAACTCCATGGGATGGAGATACTTAGGCCATGTCCCAGTGTGGGCTCGAGGGGAGGCTGGGGGCAAGAGGCTTTTCAAGGTGAAATGTTTCACCTCATCTGTGAGTGGGAAGGGGACCCTTACCTTGAGTGTCATTCAGAAGGGGGTCAGGTAGGAGTCAGGGCCCTGAGTTGGCCATGGCTATGCTGCTGACACATGGCAGCCATAGCAACTTCTTTCTATGCTTGGGCCTTCAGGATCCTTGTCAGCAAATGGGATAAGAGGGTACATGCTGGCGATGCCCACAGCCCCTTTCAGCTGCTGTGTCCTGTAGCCCCACAAACAGCAAGCGCTTGGGAAAGTAGGGGCTACAGGACAAATTAACAAGGGAAAGTTGCCACCAGAGCCACTCTGTTAAGGGGGCTGCGCTGTTTTTGCCTCCTAAAGTTTCTTCTAGAAATAAAGATCCTTTTAGAAACAGCATCACAAAAGGAAACAAAGGGGATGATGTGTCTGTGCATAGAAAAAAGACTGGAAGAAAACACAGCGCCATGGAGGCCACAGGAGATTCCCTCCTGGCAGTGAAGCTAACGCCTGCCTGACTTTCCTGATGGAAACACCAGGGACTGCGAGACTAAGTGATGCCAACAGCAAGGAACAGCTGTGTGAGGCTTTGGAGACCAAGAAAGACATAGAAGGTGAGGATCCCACATAGAAAGGAAATGAACTGAGCTGCGCCTGCATCCGAGCGTTTCCTCCTCAGGGCACTTGTCAGTTTGGGGAGCACTGACACCCAACAGGGTGGGGGCCCAGTGGGCTAGTGATAAAAATGTGGAGTCCAGGGCCACAGGACAGCCAGGACACGAGGGAAAAAGATTCTGGTCCTCTAGCCACCTTTCACACAACTTCCTCTGGAAACACTTGTGAATTC
>NW_003315931.1:0-60032 GCF_000001405.40 Homo sapiens | reverse complement strand
TATACACATACATATTTAGATAGATAGATACATAGGAGATTATATATATATGTGTATATATATCATATATATATATGATTTCCCAAAAAAGAAGGAATTCTGTCTCAAGACTGCAACATAGAAACCTCATTCTCTCTCTATATATATAGGTATACTCTCTGTCTATCTGCCTATGTATCTATCTATCTATCTATCACTTATCTATCTGGGTTTATTTTAAGGAGTTGGCTCACATGATTGGGGCAGCTGGCAAACCCAAAATCCACAGGGCAGGCTGGCAGGCTGAAGATTCAGGCTGGAGTTGGTGTTTGAGTTTTGAGTCAGAATTCCACAGGCCAGCAGGCTGGAAACTCAGGTGAGGTTTCTACGTTGCAGTCTCGAGACAGGATTCCTTCTTTTTTGGGAAATCGTAGGCTTTGCTTTTAAGGCTTTCAACAGATTGTTTGAGGCCCATTCACATTATGAAAGTTGTCTGCTTTACTCAAAGTACCGATTATAAACGTTAGTCACATCTTTAAAATACTGTCACCGCAACATCTGAACTGTGTTTGACCATACAGCTGAGCACCATGGCCTAGCAAGGTTGACACACAAAATTCACCATCACAGACAGTCTTGTAATTTCTCCAAGCCTCAGGTTCCTCAGCATGGAATGGCATTGATAATACCTAAGTCATAACACAATTTTTTGGCAGGGGTTGGGGGTGGGGTCAGGGTCTCGCTCTGCTGCCCAGGCTGGATGGAGTACAATGATGTGATCTCGGCTCACTGCAACCTCTGCCTCCCAGGCTCAAGCGATTCTACTGCCTCAGCCTCCTGAGTAGCTGGGTTTACAGGCGCCTGCCACCATGTCTGGCTAATTTTTTATGTATTTTTCTAGAGACAGAGTTTCATCATGTTGGCCAGGCTGGTCTTGAACTCCTGAGCTCAGGCGATCCACCCACCTCGGCCTCCCTAAGTGCTGGGATTACAGACATGTTCCACAACACCAGGCTAATTTTTATATTTTCGGTAGAAATGGGGTTTCACCATGTTGGCCAGGCTGGTCTCGAACTCTTGACCTCAAGTGATCCACCCGCCTGAGCCTCCCAAAGTGCTGGGATTGCAGGCATGAGTCACTGCACCTGGCATAACACAATTATTTTAACACACATTTCTTCAAAATCCTCTCTCATCCAGGAAGTCCTCGGTGCTTGGGATACAACAGTGAGCAAAACAGCTCCCTACACAGAGCTCACATTGGGAGGTGGTGAGGAAGGAAGTTTAATTGCTATATAAACCGCCAGATATTGATAAGTGCCAGGAAGGGAAAAGCAGAGCCCGCTGTTGTGAGGAGTAGAGGAGATGGTGCACGTCAGGGTACAGCCCAGGCCTGAACATGCTCAGGTGTACAGCCAGGTTACCTTCCTTCCTTTCCCCCTAGAATAACCATCATGAAATATAATACATGATTTTTTCTTTGCTTGTTTTTAGATGGAGTGTCGCTCTGTCACCCAGGCTGGAGTGCAGTGGCACGATCTCAGCTCACTGCAAACTCTGCCTCCTGGGTTCAAGTGATTCTCCTGCCTCAGCCTCCTGAGTAGCTGGATCTACAGGTGTGTGCCACCAAACCCGACTAATTTTTGTATTTTTAGTAGAGAAGGGGTTTTCACCATGTTGTCCAGGCTGGTCTTGAATTCCTGACCTCAGGTGATCCACCTGCCTCGGCCTCCCAAAGTGCTGGGATTACAGGCATGAGCCACTGTACCCAGCCAGTACATGATTTTCTTTGCCCTACCAGAAATTACATTTCCCCCCTTGTTGGTATAGGCCATCTTTGAGCAAATCTTCGTTATGTATGTGGGAAACCAGGAAAAAGGTGAAAGAAGAACTTTGGCTGTTTTAGGTGCCTGGCAAAGCTGTTTATTTATGGGTACAGAAGGCTGGAATTTGGGAAGGGTTGAATAATTGTGTATGGAGTCTAGCAGTCTTTGGGAAGGGAAGACGCCAAATCCCTAACCAGTGGTTTCCAACTCTGAGACCCAGCCCTTCTTCCAGCCCACCCTTAAAAGATATTTAGAAACATTCTATTCACTATCTTAAAATGAAATTCATTGATTTTATAACCAATGTATGCTCATGGTCCAAAATAATCAATATAATTCTGTTTGAAAATATGGAGGCTGGGCACAGTGGCTCACACCTGTAATCCTAGCACTTTGGGATGCTGAGGTGGGCGGATCACTTGAAGTCAGGGGTTCGAGACCAGCCTGGCCAACATGGTGAAACCCCATCTCTACTAATTTTTGTAAAACTACAAAAATTAGCCCAATGTGGTGGCACGCACCTGTAATCCCAGCTACTCAGGAGGCTGAGGCAGGAGAATTGCTTGAACCTGGGAGGTGGAGGTTGCAGTGGGCCAAGATCATGCCACTTCACTCCAGCCTGGGTGACAAGGCAAGACTCTGTCTCAAAACAAAAACAAAGACAAACAAACAAACAACAAAAAAAGAGAGTATGGAAGATAAAAACAACTTGTAATACAATGCTTTGTATTTCACTACGTAAGTGCTAGGTCACGACTACACTAAATGGCAAAAAATGACCCCAAGGTCCCCAACATGCCCCTGTGCCAGTGAGGAGCTCAGTGGGAGGGACCGCAGCACGGAAACTGTAAAGGGATTATTCACAGAGGTGAACATGGGGGCGGGGAAGCCATCGAGGGGTGGTGCAGCCCTTGCGTTAGGAATGGGGAGTGAGAGTAGCTGGTCCCTCCCTGGGCCCTGGTGGGTCCTTGGGAGAAAGCTGTAGTCGTGGGTGGTAGCCACCCAATGGGAGCTGAGTACCACTTTGGCAGAAGAATGGCCCAGGACATGAAACTGTGTTGTCACTCTCCTCCCACCTGCTGAGCTCCTGCAAGCTCCTCTATTGGCCTAACTCTTTTCAATGTTGAGTCACTCTGACCTATAGGTTCTCTGCAGCCCCTAAGCAATCCTAGATACCTTGTTACTTGCTCACACTGACTCCAGGTTGCGGCAGGGAATTTGCCTTTTATAATCAGAAAAAGGGCGTGATTACCTGACCTATCTGTATTGGTTCTCTGGTCTCAGTCAGAAAAGCTCTTCTCTCTGGTTTATTTTTGGTTTTGTTTTTTAAAACAAACTGAATTCCATCCTGTTTCTGCCTGTTTGAAGGGAGGCTTGTCTCATAGTTGAAGGCGGGAGAAGGCTGATGCACCACCTCATATTCTGGCGTTTTCCACTGCTCTCTGGATGAAGTTCAGCAGGGATGTGGTTCAATCCCTGTTGGCGAAAGGCGAGGGTTTCCCAGCAGCTTTACTCCTCTCTGTGAGGGCGGTTAACGTAGGGAGAGCCCAGCCTTCTCCTGTCTTGATCCAGTCTCTTCTGTATTGTAAGGTCTGTCAGGTGCCACAGCCCACCCCAGGCCTCATATCCTGTGTGAGTGAAACCTCAAATCAGCTTAAACCTAAGAGGGAATTCACTTGCTCACACAAGCTGGTAAGTGTGGGGTGGACACAGTTCAGGCTGATAGACCCAGCAGTGTGGGGTATCCAGGATGCTCCCTCCCTTCTCCGCTGGTCTCTTTTTGGTTTCATTTCCTAACTGCAGACGGTGGTGGGAATGTGGCTGTGGCAGATCTAGCATCATCTCTTTCTGAATGAGACAGGAGGGGCCACGGCCTTTCTCTCCAGTGCCACATTGTAAGGTCCCAATGACTTGGGTTCCTTGCTGCCCTGCCTTAGACCAGCCACTGTGGCCAGGGCCATGGGGTATTTGGCCTAGTTTACCAAAATACCTATTTGGCCAGAGGTTTAGAACATGTGACTGGCACTTCTCCAAAAGTGTGCCATCAGCACAGTGAAGGCGAAGCTGTTCCCACTAGAGACAGAACTTATATTCATCCCATCAATGCATTTTTCAACCTACTGACCTTCCTTGAAGTCAGCATGTGTTTATCATGCACACAGGCTAGTGATCAGATAAAGAGCTTGTCTTTATTGAGCAGTGTGGAACCCAACATTGTGCTCAGCACCCAATCCATGCTGCCTTTTGCTGCAGGAAGGTGAAGGAAGCATTGGGGGTGCTTCTGCCCTCAAGACACCTGCAGTCAAGACAGGGTAGAGGAAGAAGTGAGGACCTCTCCATGCCTCCCTCTCCTCTCTGCTCCCTGCCCTCATCGTTTGCTGTCCTTGGGCTCACTCGCTTCTAGGCAATCCTTAGTCCTGCCTCATGGGTCCCATCCATGACACGTGCTGTACACATGATCCAGCAGTCCCATGTCTCTGATGTCTCTGCTGGAGGCTAGTCTCGTTGCCCCTTCCTTCCTGTCTCTGTCTCTGTCTTGGTTGTGCAGCCTTTGCACAAAGCCTTCTTCTGATTGAAGCTCCTGTAATTCTCACTGCTCTTCCACCAGGCCCCTGGCACTGTTGGGCTGTCTGATGATTGCATGTCAAGTGGCTGGGATGATATAAATTCATTTAACTCACTTCATTACTAAGTGGGGTGATTAAAAAGCTGGTGGAGCTCGACATCCATTTGTGGAATTAAATTGCTAAGGTGAGTGGGAATCTGCAAAACACTCCACAGCAAAATCCCCTTGCAAAGTAGAAATCTAGTAAAGCTTCTAATTCAGAATATGATTCTAATTCAGAATAGATCATATCTCAAGGTTAAAATTATTAACCACATTCATTTGTAGACCATCTACTTTACCTATGAATAACAAATGCTTTCAAGGAGTTTTCAAGTGTTACTGACGCAAAAACTCTGTAACTGTGATATAAGCAAAGGTAAGCACTGTATAGCTGGGGCTTTGCTAGCTTTAAAAATCACTCTTATCTGGAAGGCTGGTCTCCCCACCTGAGGCTTAAATATCTCAGAGCCAAGGCCCCAGCCCAGCAGTTCTGAGCATGCTGTTAAGAACACTTGATTGGAGTGTCGTATTAGTTTGTTAGAGCTGCTGTAACAACATATCCCAGATCTGGGGACTTCAACAACAGACATTTACCTTTTTAAGTCTTGGAGGCTGGAGGTCTGAGATCAAGGTGTGCACATGGTTGTTTTTTCCTGAGGCCTCTCTCCTCGGCTTGTAGACAGCCTTCTTCTCCCTGTGTCCTCACATGGCCTTTCCTCTGTGTGTGTCTGTGTCCTAATTGCCTCTTATAAGGACACCAGTCATGTTAGATTAGGCCCCAGCCATACGACTTATTTTATTATTTTTTGTTGTTGTTGTTGGTTTCTTTTTCTTTCTTTTTTTTTTCTTGAGACAGAGCCTCGCTCTGTCACCCAGGCTAGAGTGCAGTGGCATGATCTCAGCTCACTGCAAGCTCTGCCTCCCAGGTTCACGCCATTCTCCTGCCTCAGCCTCCCAAGTAGCTGGGACTACAGGCAACCGCCACTATGTCCGGCTAATTTTTTGTATTTTTAGTAGAGATAGGGTTTCACCGTGTTAGCCAGGATGGTCTCGATCTCCTGACCTCATGATCCGCCTGTGTCGGCCTCCCAAAGTGCTGGTATTACAGGCACGAGCCACCGCACCTGGCCAACACCCAGCTACTTTTTTTTTTTTTTTTTTTGGTAGAGACAGGGTTTCGCCATGTTGGCCGGGCTTGTCTTGAACTCCTAACCTTAGATGATCTACCTGTTTCGGCTTCTCAAAATACTAGGATTACAGGTGTGAGCCACTGCGCCTGTC
Organism: Homo sapiens; assembly: GCF_000001405.40. Taxonomy (NCBI): domain Eukaryota; kingdom Metazoa; phylum Chordata; class Mammalia; order Primates; family Hominidae; genus Homo; species Homo sapiens. Next base: position 54,338 of record NW_003315931.1, on the reverse strand, counting down.
CCATGACTCATTTTAATTTAATGGGATCTTTAAAGACCCCCCCTCTTTTTTTTTTTTTTGACGGAGTCTCGCACTGTCTCCCGGGCTGGAGTGCAGTGGCGTGATCTCAGCTCACTGCAACCTTCTGCCTCCCTGGTTCAAGCAATCCTCCTGCCTCAGCCTCCCGAGTAGCTGGGACTACAGGCGCCCGCCACCACTCCAGGCTAATTTTTTTTTTATTTTTAGTAGAGACGAGGTTTCACCATGTTAGCCAGGATGGTCTCGATCTCTTGACCTCGTGATCCACCCACCTCAGCCTCCCAAAGTGCCGGGATTACAGGCATGAGCCACCGCACCCGGCCTAAAGACCCCCATCTTCGAATACAGCCACATTCTGAGGTCCTGGCTGTTAGGGCTTCAACATAGGAATTTGTGGGAGCGGTACAATTCAGCCCCCAAGTGTCCGCTAGCAGAGACTCTGCACGCCATGGTTCCCAAGGTGAGACATGCTTTAGTCTCCCAGGAGGGATGTAACGCTCCGTTTCCAGAGCCCATGCCAGACCCACTACAGAGGACACTTGGGGGTTTGCATCATTATTAAGTTTCTGAGGGAATTCTTGGTGCCACTAGGTCACCACCGCCAATGCTTAGGAAACAGTGTCCTAAACACTGCTTGGCTGACCTGGACCCAGTTACCAAAAAGGCTGAGGGCAGTGGGGAATGCATGGAAAAATAAATCTGTAGGAAAAAAATCCCTAAGAGTGAAAAGAATGGGAAGGGACGTTAACAGTTGATGGGGAAATTTCAATTTATTTTTGGAAGCTGGAAAATAGATCATAGGCATTGTTGGAGGAAAAAAGGCGGACAGCTACAGCTCCCAATGCATGTGCAAGGCCTGCAGAGGAGGGGAGGGCTTCCTGGTGTGCCTGATGATCCCCCAGGCTGCGGGGGTGGGGGTGAAAGCAGCGAGGCGTGAAATCTGGGGAGGAGCTGTGGCAGCTGCATCTGCCCCCGCCCGCAGCTCCCCGCACCCAGCCCTGCCCATGGAGCCAGGAGGTTTTGGGGGAAGGGGACTTTGGGAGAAAGGGGAACCTAGAGGGCCCTCTGCTAAGGAAATTGGGAATTGAAAGTCTGGTTAGTGTATTTGAGTCTAATATTTAGTTGCCTGAAGCTAATAGTATTTCAGAGTTATAAATCAAGAAAGGGTGAAACGAGCAGATTATTTGGAGATACGGAGGTAAATCAATATGAGAATAAAGCAAACGGCAGGTGAAGTGCGCCTCTCCCTCTCCCTTTGGCGGGAGCTGGGCTTCAGCAACAGAGCGCCTGAAACTCAGGCCCTTAGAATCAAGTTCATTTCCCTCCACGCAGAGTCCGGGTGCCGCGTCAGGATGGGTAGGCCTCGGCTCTAAAGCCACAGTCGGAGGCCCGGCGTGGCACAGGTGTTGCTGTTACCGGCACGCTCCCAGTTGCCTTCCCCAGCTCCAGGAAGGGGCACAGGGCAGCAGTGAGGACCACCGCCTTGGCCAGACCCAGGCCCGGAGATGCAGCCTCTTTTGCTAGGGGAAGCGAGAATAGACTTCTGGCGAGCACTGGAGGTTCTGCCGCAGTGCAGAGTTGGTAAAAAGGCAAACCTAAACCTAAAGGTGGCTCACGCTTGTAGTCTCAGCACTTTAGGAGGCCAAGGCGGGCGGATCGCAAGGTCAAAAGATTGAGACCATCCTGGCCAACATGGTGAAACCCTGTCTCTACTAAAAACACAAAAATTAGCTGGGCATGGTGGCGCGTGCCTGTAGTCCCAGCTATTCGGGAGGCTGAGGCAGGAGAATTGCTTGAACCCGGTGTAGCAGGACAAGCCATAGACAAAACCCCTCAGACACCAAGTTAAAAAAGGAAGGGCTTTATTCGGCCGGGAGCTTCGGCAAGACTCACGTCTCCCAACAACTGAGTTCCCCGAGTGAGCAATTCCTGTCCCTCTTAAGGGCTTACAACTCTAAGGGGGTCCGCGTGAGAGGGTTGTGATGGATTGAGCAAGCAGCGGGTACGTGACTGGGGGCTGCATGCACCGGTAATTAGAATGGAACAGAACAGGACAGGGATTTTCACAGTGCTCTTCCATATAATGTCTGGAATCTATAGATAACATAACCAATTAGGTCAGGGGTCGATCTTTAACTATCAGGCCCAGGGTGTGGCGCTGGGCTGTCTGCCTGTGGATTTCATTTCTGCCTTTTAGTTTTTACTTCTTCTTTCTTTGGAGGCAGAAATTGGGCATAAGACAGTATGAGGGGTGTTCTCCTCCCTTACCAGGACCCGGGAGGCAGAGGTTGCAGTGAGCCGAGATTGTGCCACTGCACTGCAGCCTGGCCACAGAGCAAGACTCCGTCTCAAAAAAAGAAAAAAAAGCAAACACAGTTTGTAATCAGGAAAGTCTGGTCATAAAACTGGGATGGACAGAGAGATTGTGGGGACAGAAAGAAATCCTGGTGTTCTTTGGCAATCAGTGTGTCCCAAGGGAGGGTCTCTCTGTCAGCTCAGAGGAAAATGTGATTTGGTAAGCGGTTTTGGCACAAAACTATCCATCTGGAAAAAGTTAAAAGTGAATCCTATTCTTAACATCATCTACTAAAATTACAGATGGAATAAAGCACAGGTAAACAGTGATATAGGGCAATGGTTAGGAAAATAATCTAAGAAAATATATGTAAATCCGGGATTAGAGAGACCTTTTTAAATTCAAACTAAAAACCAGAAACTCTGGATAGACATAGTTATTCCATAAAAATTATATACATATGTATGTAATATCTGTTTTGTGTATATATATAATACACATGCATATACATATATAAATGATATATACATCTAAATAACAAAAAATACCAAAGAAGTCAAGACTAATGTTAGATTGGAAACGTATTTGCAATGCCTATGAAAGAGAAATAATTAATGCATTAATATACAAAGAACACTTTTGCAATAGAGAAAAAGTAAAAGATGACAAAAGATATGAATGGTCATTAAATAGAAATAAATAATCTTCAAGGATACACTAAAATTCAGATATGCAAATTTACAGAAATTACAAAAAATGATAACCTCTATTGCTGGCAAAAATATATAGAAAGGGTATTCATTTATTGCTGAGGGAATTGTGAATTACTGTTGCTGTTTGGAGAGTAATCTGGCAATATGTATTAAGATTTAAGTATGCGTTCTGCAATACAGCTGGCTCACGGTGAGAATTTAGGCAACCAAAATAGAAACACCAACGTATACATTTATATAGTAATATTTATTGCAGCATCATTCTACAAGTAACACATGATAAAATGCCTGAAACAAAGGGATTGTCCATGCATTGGTCAAGGCTTGTGAACCATGAGATGTACATTCCATGAACTAGTTGTAAACATTTAGGAATGTGTGAGAGCTATGCTGTATGGTGTGGAGGAATTTCCAAACTGTGAGTGAGAAAAGCAAGATACAGAAAAATTAGTAAAATATTAATCCTTTTTGGCCAAATATGACAAAAAAAACACCTAAAGTGTTGTAATATGTTAACAGAATTATAGGCACATAGAAAGAATGGGCTTAACTTGGTGGGGAGTGGGGTTAAATGAGTTTAAAGGAGGTACCCAAAAAGTGGCCAAAAAAGGAAAGTGTGTATAGTAGAAACGGCAACTATGCTATGATCCCGTTTTTGTAAAATTAAGTATGTGTGTGTAAATGCATAGAAATTGGTACAGGATGGAAACCAACAGGTTAACATGGTTAACAGAGGATTTCAGATGTTTTTCTTACGCTTTAAAAAATTGTGTGCGGTGGCCAGGTGCGGTGGCTCACACCTGTAATTCCAGCACTTTGGGAGGCTGAGGCGGGTGGATCACAAGGTCAGGAGCTAGAGACCATCCTGGCTAACACGATGAAACCCCATCTCTACTAAAAATACAAAAAATTAGCCGGGTGTGGTGGCATGTGCCTGTAGTCTCAGCTACTTGGAAGGCTGAAGCAGGAGAATTGCTTGAAGCCGGGAGGTGGAGGTTGCAGTGAGCGGAGATCGTGGCAACAGAGAATCCGTCTCAAAAAAAAAAAATTGTGTGGGGCTACCCGTTTTCTCCAGGTCCCCTCTCTCTGCAACAGAGAGAGCTTTTCTCATTGTTTTGCCCATTAGACTTCCACTCTTAACCTCAAAAATAAATAAATAAATAACAAATTGTGTGAAATGTTTAATGAGCATATATTTGTATAACCAGAAAAAATTTTTTAAAGAAAACATAAACATGTGATTTGTTACTAATTCCCCAAAATGTGTCTGTGAGTCACCTCCAGGCTCCATCTGTCCGCCTTGCATGTCTTTGAGTAACATTTCTAAAACCCTACAACCAGCATCTCCCAGGACCCTAAATGGCTTCCACTGCTGTGCTCCCCATTGGGACACTGCCAGCCCAAGACAGAAGCCGTGAAGCCACAGGGCACGCTGGGTGGGCATGGGCCCTGAGACTCTGAATCCACTCAGGAGCAGGCTATGGAAACACTTCTGTTCTAGTAAAAGAAACGTCTACTGTATACTGTTGCCGAAAACAAATGGTATGGCACTTTTCACGTGGGGCTTCTGGTTGTATTCCCAGCCTCTGTCCACAGTGGGCTTGCTGTCAGTAGGAGTATTCTGGGTTTTTTGTTTTTTTCATTTACTCTACTTCATATGTAGCAGTATTCTGATAGGAAGAAATGTTTGAGAAGTGCTATATAGAACATTCTCAGCCAAAGTACAATAGAGAACATTCTCAGCCAAAGTACCATATACAACATTCTCAGCTATTTAGGGTCTTCCTTCCCTGAGTGCCCGCCCAAGGTTTTAAGTAAACTTTGTTTACTTAAAAATATCCTCCCGGCCGGGCGCGGTGGCTCACGCCTGTAATCCCAGCACTTTGGGAGGCCGAGGCTGGTGGATCACGAGGTCAGAAGATCGAGACCATCCTGGCTAACATGGTGAAACCTGGTCTCTACTAAAAAAATACAAAAAAAAAAAAAAAATTAGCCAGGCGTGGTGGCGGGCGCCTGTAGTCCCAGCTACTCGGGAGGCTGAGGCAGGAGAATGGCGTGAACCCGGGAGGCGGAGGTTGCAGTGAGCCGAGATTGCACCACTGCACTCCAGCCTGGGTGACAAAGCGAGACTCTATGTCAAAAAAAAAAAAAAAGGGAGGGGAAAATAAAAAAATCCTCCCTAGGGCAAATTCATGGTGTCTGCAGACACCGGAACCCTTCTCCCGTGGAGAGCTGGGTCTATTTCCTTGTTCCCTGAATCAGGGCTGGTCTGTGAGTGCTGCGGCCGATAAAGCATGAGAGAATGAACACTGTGCCAGTTCAGGGAACTGCCAGGGCCCACCTTGGGCTCCTGGGGCCCAGGGCTGCCCTGTGAGAGGTCACCTTACTGGCCCAGGGAGCCCCCGTGTCTGTAGGAAGATGGTGAAGGACCCAGCGAGCCTGCTAGCGTCAGGCATGATCCGGCCCAGCGCATGGGCCCTAGCGTGGCGGGTGGGGAGTCACTCCGTGCCAGGCGCGAGGAGCAGAAGTGTGAGGGGTTCATCAGGATGAGAGGAGGCGATCTTTCCGGCCCAGCCCCCCCAGGTCTCCCTATCCATTCCGGAGGAAACAGTCACATGTATAAGCTAGGAAGTGAACAATGATGTTCACCATTTGGACTCGGGGCCACGCTGCGTCTGACTGAATCTGCCCTTAGTTTTGGGTTCTTTGAGCCGGTTAATTCCCTTCTCTATCTGGTAAGTGTTTCTTCCCTACTTGAGGCCCAGGCACACTGCAAGCCAGCTGAACGCCATCTCCGAGTGAATCCAGCCTCACTCCTTCAGCATCATGAGTAGTTCTATTCTCCTCGAGAAATCCTCTGCCTCTTCCCAGACTGGCAGCTTATCCCCTGTGAAGGTTTCTGCCTTCGGGGTGTGCCTGCTGCTGGACTGCGCGTGGCTGGAGGGAGGAGTGGCCTGCTGCTGGTCTTTGCAGCTCCGCACCAGGCAGTATCCAGTGCTCAGGCGATACCTGTTGACTGAACCGACTCACTAATTCAGAAATGCATTGATATGTACATAGCATACACTTTCTCCCGCTCACAGCTTTCTGATAATGAATTTGGCTTCCACCTCAAGGCAAATGTATCATGAACCCATGGTTCATCTAAAGGCCACTTTGTGTAATATATTTTTTAACTTATTTGTAAAAACATTAAAAATGAAAAACAAACAGTACCAAATCTAAGTCACATTGTTTCCTCTTGAATTGCTGTATATTTTTAGCACGGGCAACAACTGCAGTAGGGTCAGAGACAAACTGTCTGTCTTTTTAAGCTGCGGGAGTGTCTGCATCCCTCACTAAACACACTGGGATATGCTGTCATCTTTGCAGTTGAGGGGGACACATTGGTGGATGGTTTTTGCATTTGTGTGCTTTTTGTTGGTGATGTCACGATTTAAAATGGTCCCCAGCAAAGTGCTGAAATGTCTAGTGTTCCTGAGTGTGAGAAGGCTGCAATGTGCCTTATGGAGAAAATTCATGTGTTAGATAAGCTCAGTTCCGGCATGAGTTATATATAGTGCTGTTGATTGTGAGTTCAGTGTTAATGAATCAAAAATATGGTTCATCCATAAAAAGGAAGAGGAAATTCACCAATCTGCACTTGAGGCTGCTCCAGAAAATGCTAAAGTAATATCTATAGAGCATGACGAAACAACAGAAAAGATAGAAAAGCAACTAAATTTATGGATTCATTAGCTGATGACTAAAGAAAATCCCCAAGCCCCCAAATCATAGTGGACAGAGTTGTGAGACTGAAAGCCAAGGAAATTTGCAGTCACATTACTCAGGGTCAGGAAAATGCCAGACCTCTCTTGGCTAGTACTGGGCTGGCTTGCATGTTTCAAAAGGCAATGTGGTGTGAAAAATGTTAACCTCGCAGGAGAGGCAGGTTCTGTAGATAGGGAGGCTATGGAAGAACTTTAAAAACACCTTCTAAGTGTTACATAGGAAAAGCGTTATTTGGGAGAGCAAATTTTCAACGCTGATGAGACTTACTTGTTTTACAAGGACGTTAGCAAACACAGCTATATAGAGTAAATGGTGTTTTGGTTGGTGAAAATGTTATGTCTGGAGCCTGGAAGGAACCTAACCCTGTGGTTTAGCTTTTGCTAAGTTGATGTTTGCAATGACTTTATGGAACATAACTACCCCTAAATTTAAATGAGAATAGGCTGTAACTGTGTCTTTTATTTCCTTCTGTTGCTTTTTGCACGGGTTAGAGCTTCCAGGACTAAGTTGAATAGTAGTAGTGAGGGTGGGGACCTTTGCTGTGTTCCTGATTTCATGAGGAGAGCATTCGGTCTTTCACTGTTATGTTTTGCAGGAATTTTTTTTTTAATCAGGTTGAGGGAGTTCACCTTTATTCCTAGTTTTCTCAGAATTTTTTTTAAATCATGAAAGGTATTAAGTTTTGTCAAATGCAGCCTAGTAATCCCTCTTCTAGGCATATATCCAAAGGAAATGAAATCTCTACCTGGTAAGGATATCTGCACACCCATGTTGCAGCATTTTTCGCAATGGCCAACGTATGAAAACAACCTAGGTGTCTATTAATGGATGAATGGATAAACTATGGCATAAATAGACAATGGAATATTATTTAGCCTTTAAAAAGGGAGATCTTGGGCTGGGTGCAGTGGCTCATGCCTGTAATCCCGGCACTTTGGGGAGGCCGAGGCAGGTGGATCACGAGGTCAGGAGATCGAGACCATCCTGGCTAACACAGTGAAACCCTGTCTCTACTAAAAGTACAAAAAATTAGCCGGGCATGGTGGTGGGCACCTGTAGTCCCAGCTACTCGAGAGGCTGAGGCAGGAGAATGACTTGAACCCGAGAGGCAGAGCTTGCAGTGAGCCAAGATGGCACCTCTGCACTCCAGCCTGGGCAACAGAGCAACACTCCGTCTCAAAAAAAAAAAAAAAAAAGGAGATCTTGGCCGGGTGTAGTGGCTCACACCTGTAATCCCAGCAGTCTGGGAAGCCAAGATGTGAGAATAGCCTGAAGCCAGGAGTTCAAGACCAGGTTGGGCAACATATCTATAAAAAATATATGAGAGCCCCATATCTATAAAAAAAAATAAAAATTAGCTGGGCATGGTGGTGTATGCCTGTAGTCCCATCTACTAGGGAGACTGAGGCAGGAGAATTGCTTGACCCCAGGAGTTCGAGGCTGCAGTAAGCGAAGATCACACCACTGTACTCTAGCCTGGGTGACAGAACAAAACCCTGTCTAAAAACAAAACAAAAACAACAACAAAAAGGAAGATCTGCCATTTGCCACAACATAGGTGGACTTGGAACATATTATACTAAGTGAAATAAGCTAGACACAGAAAGAAAAATATTGCATGATCTCACTTATGTGGGGTCTCTAGAAAAAAAGAGATCAAGTATATAGAGACAGAGAATAAAACAGTGGCTACCAAGGTTGGAGTTGGGGAGGAAATGGAGAGGTTTAGGTCAAAAGATACAAAGTAGCAAATAAATATGTAGAATGAACAAGTGGAAAGGTCTAATGAACAGCATGAAGACTACAGTGAATAATAGGGTATCATATTCAGGATTTTTCCTTAATGGGTAGATTATAGCTGTTTTTGCCACAGGAGGAATTATGGATAACTAAATGAGATGATGGAGATGTTAATTTGTTTCACTATAGTAACCATTTTCTTATATATGTATCTTATAACATCATGTTTGTACACAATAAAATTTATTTAAATAAACAAATTTTGTCAAATACTTTACTGCATCAATTGATAACATCATGTGAATTTTATTCTGTTAATGTGGTGGATTACATTGACTGATTTTTTAATATTGAACCAACCTTGCATTTCTGGAATAAGCTTCATTTAGTTATGGTGTGTAATTCTTCTTAAAAATCACTGAAGCCTATTTGTTAATACTTGTTTAAAGGTTTTTATGTCTACATGCATGAAGGATATTGATCTGTAATTTTCTTTTTTTGTAATTCTTTGTCTGGTTTTGGTATTAGTGTGATACTGGTCCCATACAATGAGAAGGGAAATATTTTCTCTTCTTATATTATCTGGAAAAAATTGCTTATTGTTAGCATTGATTCTTCCTTAAACAGAATTATCCAGTGAAACAACTTGACATGGCGATTTCTTTTTCAAAGAAAAACGTTGTTTTAATTTTAGAATTAAAATATCTATACATCTAATTGACGAAGATTGTTACAAAGAATAAGTTCCCTGTGTCTTGTCTATTCACCCATTTCCCACTCCCACAGAGCAACTCTTGTAAACTTTCTTAGCTAACCTTTTGATATCTTCCTCCATGTCTTCAACAAAAATGCCTATATTGTTACTTATTTGGTTTTGCAGATTAAAAATTTCTCTAAGACTTCCCAATGTGGAAGATGATTTATCTCCTTCCCTCCTTCCCTTTCCTAACCTGACAAGCAATTTCTGTCTTCACTTTCTCCCAATCTAATTAAATAGACATTTTTTTCTTAAGCTTAGTAGTCAGCATTTTTATTAGTTGCACCTTTCCAGCTGAACCATGGACTATATACAATGATGATGGTGACGGTGGTAGTGGTCGTGACAACCACAATAGTTAATACAACCTGGGCAACACAGCAAGACCTTGTTACTACAAAAAAAAAAAAAAATCAGCTGAGTGTGGCAGTGCACACCTGTAGTCCTAGCTACTCAGGAGGCTGAAGCAGGAGAATTGCCTGAGCCCGGGAGGTCAGGGCTGCAGTGAGCTGAGCTCGCACCACTGCACTCCATCCTGGGCAACACAGCCAGACCCAGTCTCTAAAAAAATAAATAAAATAAAAAATAAAGACCGTTAACATTTACATGGGGCTTTCTCTGGGCCAGAAAAAGATCCAAGGACTTTAATTTTCACAAAACTTTCACAAGACTGTTATAATAATCCTGATTTTATATATGAGGACCATGGAGATGAAGTGATTTGCCCAAGGTAATTCAGCCGTTAAGTGGCAAAACCAGAATTTGAACCCCAGGCATTCTGGATCTGTATTCTGTAGGTGTGGCCACTACCCTACAGTTTCTAACAAATTTATGTTTGTTCTTGAGTTAATAATAATCTTTTGTTGGTTGCTTATTTTTCTATATATTTATCACTTACGCATTTCAAGTTCTACTTCAGTCATGAAAAGCTTCTCTCAATGTGTTCAAACACATTAGCACTATTATTGTCTTCTTGAAAAAATATTCTAGAGTTCTGGGCTGTCTGTTCTCCAAGCCTGCTTGTGGCTGGCATCCTGGACTCTTTCTCCTGTCCTGTCCTGAGGACTCCCTTCATCTCTCCTTTGTTTGGAACCCACTGTTTTCTGAATGCTAATCATGTTCTTTGTTGTTTTATTTCCTCATTTTGATCAACAACATCCTCTCAGCTTCCAGAGACAATAGAATAGAAAGTAAATTTTGCAACTTCTTCATGTCTAAATATGTCTTTATTCCATCTTCACATTTAATTCATACTTTGTCTGGGTATTGAAGAATCTATAGGCAATCCGAATGTTGAAGATAATCCTCCATTGTTTTTTAGCTTCTACTGTTGCTGTTGAGAATTTCAAAGCCATTCTGATTCCTACTCTTTGCATTTGACCTGCTTTTCCTCTAAGGAAACTTGGAAAGTCATCTTTCCGTTCCCAGGATTCTGAAGGTCACTAATGATGTGTTTGAAGGGGGACAAATCTCATTTAATGTGCTCCCCATTTGGTGGATCCTTTTCATTTGGCAAGTCAAATTCTTCAGTTATGATATATCTTCTTGAATTATTTTTTGATTCCTCCTGCTACCATTTTTTCAGTTCACTCTCAGAAACTCTCTTTATTGGAAGTTGGCCCTTCTGAAGTTGGTCAACTAATTCTTTAAAACCTTAAAAAATAATTAATATCCTCAGAAACAAAACAAAAACCTTAGAAATAAACAATAACAAAGGCGCTGATAATCACAAATTTAAAATATAATATCAGAAAAGTCACACTAGATCCATATATTTGACGACATTAAAATCAAGAACTCCTGTTCATCAAAGCACATCATGAAGAGCTCTTTCACATCCCTTGTAGGTTGGATTCCTAGGTATTTTATTCTCTTTGAAGCAATTCTGAATGGGAGTTCACTCATGATTTGGCTCTCTGTTTGTATGTTATTGGTGTATAAGAATGCTTGTGATTTTTGCACATTGATTTTGTATCCTGAGACTTTGCTGAAGTTGCTTATCAGCTTAAGGAGATTTTGGGCTGAGACAATGGGGTTTTCTAAATATACAATCATGTCATCTGCAAACAGAGACAATTTGACTTCCTCTTTTCCTAACTGAATACGCTTTATTTCTTTTTCCTGCCTGATTGCCCTGGCCAGAACTTCCAACACTATGTTGAATGGGAGTGGTGAAAGAGGGCATCCCTGTCTTGTCCCAGTTTTCAAAGGGAGTGCTTCCAGTTTTTGCCCATTCAGTATGATATTGGCTGTGGGTTTGTCATAAATAGCTCTTATTATTTTGAGATACGTCCCATCAATACCTAATTTATTGAGAGTTTTTAGCATGAAGGGCTGTTGAATTTTGTCAAAGGCCTTTTCTGCATGTATTGAGATAACCATGTGGTTTTTGTCTTTGGTTCTGTTTATATGCTGGATTACGTTTATTGATTTGCATATGTTGAACCAGCCTTGCATCCCATGGATGAAGCCTACTTGGTCATGGTGGATAAGCTTTTAGATGTGCTGCTGGATTCAGTTTGCCAGTATTTTATTGAGGATTTTTGCATCAATGTTCATCAGATAAAAGAGGACACAAGCAAATGGAAGAACATTCCATGCTCATGGATAAGAAGAATCAATATCGTGAAAATGGCCATACTGACCAAGGTAATTTATAGATTCAATGCCATCCCCATCAAGCTACCAATGACTTTCTTCACAGAATTGGAAAAAACTCCCTTAAATTTCATATGGAACCAAAAAAGAGCTCACATTGCCAAGTCAATCCTAAGCCAAAAGAACAAAGCTGGAGGCTTCATGCTACCTGACTTGAAACTATACTACAAGGCTACAGTAACCAAAACAGTATGGTACTGGTACTGAAACAAAGATATAGACCAATGGAACAGAACAGAGCCCTCAGAAATAATGCCACACATCTACAACCATCTGATCTTTGACAAACCTGACAAAAACAAGAAATGGGGAAAGGATTCCCTACTTAATAAATAGTGCTGGGAAAACTGGCTAGCCATATGTAGAAAACTGAAACGGGATCCCTTCCTTACACCTTATACAAAAATTAATTCAAGATGGATTAAAGACTTAAATGTTAGACCTAAAACCATAAAAACCCTAGAAGAAAACCTAGGCAATACCATTCAGGGCATAGGCATGTGTAAGGACTTCATGTCTAAAACACCAAAAGCAATGGCAACAAAAGCCAAAATTGACAAATGGGATCTAATTAAACTAAAGAGCTTTTGCACAGCAAAAGAAACTACCATCAGAGTGAACAGGCAACCTACAGAATGGGAGAAAATTTTTGCAATCTACTCTTCTGACCAAGGGCTAATATCCGGAATCTACAAAGAGCTCAAACAAATTTACAAGAAAAAAACAAACAACCCCATCAAAAAGTGGGCGAAGGATATGAACAAACACTTCTCAAAAGAAGACATTTATGCAGCCAACAGACACATGAAAAAATGCTCATCATCACTGGCCATCAGAGAAATGCAAATCAAAACCACAATGAGATACCAGCTCACATCAGTTAGAATGGCGATCATTAAAATGTCAGGAAACAACAGGTGCTGGAGAGGATGTGGAGAAATAGGAACACTTTTACACTGTTGGTGGGACTGTAAACTAGTTCAACCATTGTGGAAGACAGTGTGGCGATTCCTCAAGGATCTAGAACTAGAAATACCATTTGACCCAGCCATCCCATTACTGGGTATATACCCAAGGGATTATAAATCATGCTGCTATAAAGACACATGCATACGTATGTTTATTTCAGCACTATTCACAATAGCAAAGACTTGGAACCAACCCAAATGTCCAACAATGATAGACTGGATTAAGAAAATGTGGCACATATACACCATGGAATACTATGCAGCCATAAAAAAGGATGAGTTCATGTCCTTTGTAGGGACATGGATGAAGCTGGAAACCATCATTCTCAGCAAACTATCGCAAGGACAAAAAATCAAGCACCGCATGTTCTCACTCATAGATGGGAAGTGAACAATGAGAACACTTGGACACAGGAAGGGTAACATCACACACCGGGGCCTGTCGTGGGGCGGGGGGAGGGGGGAGGGATAGCGTTAGGAGATATACCTAATGTAAATGATGAGTTAATGTGTGCAGCACACCAACATGACACATGTATCTATACATAACAAACCTGCACGTTGTGCACATGTACCCTAAAGTGTTAAAAAAAAATACACCATCACAGGAGTGAGAGGCAGACAACAGAATAACAGAAAATATTTGCAATTTTTTATCCAAGGAAGTACTTGTATCCAGCATATATAAAGAACTTCTACAAATAAATTTTAAAAAGATGGAAAGCCAGTAAATCGCTTGTCTATCAGCAACAGAATGACAATCTCCTCCATCATGTTATGACACAGCAAGAGGGCCCTCACCAGATGTAGTCTTTCAATCTTGGACTTCCTAGCCTCCAGAACTTTGAGCCAAATATATTTTTTTCATTATAAATTATCCAGTCTGTGGTATTCTGTTATAGCAGCATAAAGCAGACTAAGACACTTGTGTTTGTTTTCTTGTCCGCATGGTATTCTATTGTGTGAATAAACCACAATGCACTTGTTCATTCTGCTGCTGATAGACAATTGATTCCAATTTTTATGGATAGTGCTGCTGTGATAATTCTTGCACATGTCTTTTGGTTTACATATATGTGCATCTCTGCTAGATATATACCTAGTAGTGGAACTACTGGGTTATAGAGTACTCATATGTTCAGAATTAGGGGATGTTGCCAAATGATTTTCCAAAAACGGGTTTTACCAATTTACACTCCCTCCAGTAGTGTATGAGAGTCCTTGGTATTGTTTGTTTGTTCTTCACTTTAGCTGTTCGGGTTGATGGAATATTATCGTGGCTCTAATTACATTTTCCTAAAGCTGAGTACCTTTCATACCCATCAGAATATTCTCCTTTGTAAAGCACCTGTTCAAACTTTTGCCCAATTTTTTATTGGCTTTCCATTTTTTTAAAATTTGTTTGTAGAAGTTCTTCATATATTCTGGATACAAGTACTTCATTGGATATAAAATTGCAGATATTGTCTTTTACTCTGTCAGCTGCCTCTCACTCCTGTGATGGTGTGTTTTGATGAACAGAAGTTCTTAGTTTCAATGTTGTCAAATATATAAATCTAGTGTGACTTTTCTGATATATTTTAAATTTATGGTTCTCTATCAGCTCCTTTGTTATGGCTTATTTCTAAGGTTTTGGTTTTTTGTTTTGTTTCTGAGGATATTAATAATTTTCTTTTCTTTTTTTTTTTTTCTGAGACAGAGTCTCGCTCTGTCACCCAGGCTGGCATGCAGTGGTGTGATCTCAGCTCACTGCAACCTCGGCCTCCCAGATTTAAGTGATTCTCCTGCCTCAGCTTCCTGAGTAGCTGGGATTACAGGCGTGTGCCACCACACCTGGCTAATTTTTGTATTTTTTTTTTTTTTAAGTACAGACGGGGTTTCACCATGTTGGTCAGGCTGGTCTCGAACTCCTGACATCGTGATCCACCCACCTCAGTCTCCCAAAGTGCTGGGATTACAGGTGTGAGCCACCACTCCTGGCCTGATATTAATGATTTTCTAAATCTTTCTTTTTCCTACACAGCCTCTGTTTCTTCCCACAGCCTTCTGTTTACTTCTTCCCATCAATCACCTTAGTGGGTTTCTCCAAATGTCCTGTGATTTTGGCTGTCTGGTGATATTTAAGAGGTTTTTGTGCACGGCGACTTTCACACAGTATGGTAGTCTGAAGGAATTGTCTTGTTGGAGGAATCCCTGTTTTGTTTTTGTTTTTTTTTTGAGACGAAGTCTCACTCTGATGCCCAGGCTGGAGTGCAGTGGCACGATCTCGGCTCACTGCAAGCTCTGCCCCCCGGGTTCAAGCCATTCTCCTGGCTCAGCCTCCCGAGTAGCTGGGACTACAGGTGTCCACCACCATGCCCGGCTATTTTTTTTTTTTTTTGTATTTTTAGCAGAGATGGGGTTTCACCATTTTAGCCAGGATGGTCTCGATCTCCTGACCTCTTGATCTGCCCGCCTCAGCCTCCCAAAGTGCTGGGATTACAGGCGTGAGCCACCAGGCCTGGCCTTAAAGGTGTTCTTAAACCATAAACAATAGCATGAGTGATCTGTGCCTTAAGGACATGCTCCTGCTGCAGGTAACTAGCTAGACCCATCCCTTTACTTTGGCCCATCCCTTTGTTTCCTGTAAGGAATACTTTTAGTTAATCTATAATCTATAGAATCAATGCTTATCACTGGCTTGCTGTCAATAAATACATGGGTAAATCTCTGTTCAGGGCTCTCAGTTCTGAAGGCTGTGAGACCCCTGATTTCCCACTCCACACCTCTATATTTCTGTATGTGTTGTCTTTAATTCCTCTACTGAGCTGGGTTAGGGTCTCCCCAACCGAGCTGGTCTTGGCAGGATAGAATCTGTTTGTGAAACTCCTTAAAAAGATCTGAAGCTGCCCGGCGCGGTGGCTCACGCCTGTAATCCCAGCACTTTGGGAGGCCGAGGTGGGCGGACCATGAGGTCAGGAGATTGAGACCATCCTGGCTAACACGGTGAAACCCCGTCTCTACTAAAAAATACAAAAAATTAGCCACACGTGGTGGCGGGTGCCTGTAGTCCCAGCCACTCAGGAGGCTGAAGCAGGAGAATGGCATGAACCCAGGAAGCGGAGCTTGCAGTGAGCCGAGATCGTGCCACTGCACTCCAGCCTGGGCAACAGAGCAAGACTCTGTCTAAAAAAAAAAAGATCTGAAGCCAGCCTTCTGATTTATAGCCCACTCTTCTCCTTTCCTCCTGGAGGTCCATGGCGTTCACCATTTCTGAGCCATTGGGGATTCTGGATTTTAAGTCAGGTGCCTCTTGGACTTTCCCACTGCTGTCACAAAACTCAGCCTTCCAGGTTCTGCTAAGCCAACTTCTATGCATCCTTCTGCTTTCTACCTTCCAAATATTTTGTTGTTGTCTCTTTGTAAGTTTATGTCTTTACAAAGAAAAATCTCCTTAAGGGAGGAGACCACCCCTCATATTGTCTTATGCCCAATTTCTGCCTCCAAAAAAAGAAGTAAAGACTAAAAGGCAGAAATGAAATCCACAGGCAGACAGCCTGGTGCTGCGTGGTGGGCCTGGTTAAAGATCGACCCCTGGCCTAACCGGTTATGTTACCTATAGATTCCAGACATTGTATAGAAAAGCACTGTGAAAATCCCTGTCCTGTTCTGTTCCGTTCTGATTACCAGAGCATGCATCCCCCAGTCACATACCCACTGCTTGCTCAATTGATCAGGATCCTCTCACGCGGACCCCCTTAGAGTTGTAAGCCCTTAAAACGGACAGCAATTGCTCACTTGGGGAGCTTGGTTTTTGGAGTTGTGAGTCTTGCCAAAGCTCCCAGCTGAAAAAAGCCCTTCCTTCTTTAACTCGGTGTGTGAGGGGTTTTGTGTGCGGCTTGTCCTGCTACATCCTGTCATCTTAATAAGTTTTGGGGAAGGAGCCAGCATAGATGAAGGTGCTCAATTCACCATCTTTAACTGGAAGTCACTGCATTTAGTTCCATAATCCATCTAGAATCTCTTTTTGTGTGTGTATGGTGTAGGGTAGGATAGATAATATACAAGTTCCAAAGAGATATTTATTTGTTCCAAAACCATTTGTTGAGTTGTTCATTCTCTTTCCACTCATTCAGAATGCTACCCTCATTATACGCAGACACACTGTTCTCTCCGTTCCTCTAGCAGGCCAGGTACTATCCCATCCAGAAACAGGTCAGTGCTGGTTCCATGGCCTGGGTGTCCTTCTGCCAAATGTCTGCCTAGGAGAGTCTCTGTCCTCCTTCAAACCTTTGCATCAATGCCTCCTGACCAGAGAGGATCATGCACATCACGTACTTAAAATTGCATGTTACCCCTATCATTCTCTTTCTTCCTCAACGTTTTTTTCTCCATAATATTTCTCCTCTCGAATTTCCAATGATGTTGACTCATCTATTCTGGCTGATTGTCTTGCCCCGCCTCACTAGACTATAACCTCTTTGACCCAAGGATATGGACTGTTTTGGTTGTTATGCTGTGCACAATGCCTGTTGTTCATTAAACACATGTAGAATAAGTTAATAAACATGCTACATTTCCAAACAAACATGGCTGTTTCTGTACTCTCTATTCCGCGCTACTTATCAATTTGTTTATTCCTGTAACAGTTCCACTCTGTGCTGTTTTCAACAGTTTTATAATTCACCTTAATATTGACAGAACAAACTGCCATTCATTGTTTTTTTGTTTTTTTTTTAGACAGAGTTTCACTCTTGTCGCCCAGGCTGGAGTGCAGTGACGTAATCTCAGCTCACTGCAACCTCCACCTCCCAGGTTCAAGTGATTCTCCTGCCTCAGCCTCCTGAGTAGGTGAGATTACAGGCACCTGCCACCATGCCCGGCTAAGTTTTGTATTTTGAGTAGAGACCGGGTTTCACCGTGTTGGCTAGGCTGGTCTTGAACTTCTGACCTCAGGTGATCCACCCGCCTCAGCCTCCCAAAGTTCTGGATTACAGAGGTGAGCCACCATGCCTGGCCATTGTACCTCTTTTTCAAATATTCTTGCCTATTATTGGGCCTTTTTTCTTCTTTTCTTTTCTTTTCTTTTTTTTTTTTTTTTTGAGACAGAATCTCGCTCTCTTGCCCAGGCTGGAGTGCAGTGGTGCGATCTCGGTTTACCGCAATCTCCGCCTTCCGGGTTCAAGTGATTCTCCTGCCTCAGCCTCCTGAGTAACTGAACCTACAGGTGTGCACCACCAGGCCTGGCTAATTTTTTGTATTTTTAGTAGAGACGGGGTTTCACTATATGGGCCAGGCTGATCTTGAACTCCTGACCTCATGATCTGCCAGCCTCGGACTCCCAAAGTGCTGGGATTACAAGCGTGAGCCACCGCACTGGGCCTCTTTCTATTTATTTAGTTTTGGAGACAGAGTCCCACTATGTTGCCCAAAAATCATAAATGTGATTTTAGCTCCAGATTATTATTTATTCATTAATTAGAGCCATCAAAAATTACTTAACTATATATTTTACTGTTTTTTGTATTTACTGCTCTTTCTTATATAATTTATTATTATTTTGCTGAAGTACAGCCTCTTTATTTTTTCATAGAGGTTTGTAGGGGTCAAATTTTTTGAGTCCTCACAGGTCTAAAAATGTGCTGTACGCTTGAATGAATTTTGGCCAGGAATAGAAACCTAGTTTAAAAATCCTTTACTTTCAGAACTTCAAAAGAATTGCTCTATGAGTTTTCTATTTACTTCTTATGTTTTTGTAAGTAGTTTGTTATTTTCTCTGAGGAAGCTTTGAGGATTTTTTTTCTCTTTAGTCTTGGCATTTTGGAAGTCTTACCATAAAATAGCTAAAGGCAAATCTGTTTCAGTCTGAAGGTTTGCATCATTGTTCTTTTCTTAATTCATTGATTATTTTGTGACCATCACTCTCACAATTCTTATAAATTCTTCTACACCAGTAGGAAGGTCTGGAACTGTCATCTGTGATTTTTTATTGTTACATTTTCAAGTTTTGGTCTTTAGTTGAGCGCTCAGATTCCCACTTTCCACACGTGACTATAGATTCAGTAGGTTGAGTGGGGGTGGGTGCAGAAGCCTGAGAAGTCCTCGATAAAGGAGGGCTTGATAAGTACGTCCTTGATAAGGAAGTTTTTAGAACCTTGGTAATCATAGGGAAAAGTTTTAAATGTCTTCTAATATTTTGCGTATCATTTCACAGAACTTGTATCCTATATGCAGTTTCTTCTTTTTTTTTTTGAGACGGAGTGTGGCTCTGTCGCCCAGGCTGGAGTGCAGTGGCGCGATCTCGGCTTACTGCAAGCTCCGCCTCCCGGGTTCACGCCATTCTCCTGCCTCAGCCTCCCGAGTAGCTGGGTCTACAGGCGCCCACTACCACGCCCGGCTAATTTTTTGTATTTTTAGTAGAGACGGGGTTTCACCATGTTAGTCAGGATGGTCTCGATCTCCTGACCTCTTGATCCCCCCACGTCGGCCTCCCAAAGTGCTGGGATTACAGGCGTGAGCCATCGCGCCCGGCCATCCTATATGCAGCTTCTAAGAACTGGCACAGCATAACACTTATAGATTCTGAAATACTTTTTATTTAATTAATTAATTTATTCATTTTGAGACACGGTCTTGCTCTGTCACCCAGGCTGGAGTGCAGTGGTGCAGTCTCGGTTCACAGCAACCTCCACCTCCCGGATTCAAACAATTCTCCTGCCTCAGCCTCAAGAGTAGCTGGGATCACAGGCATGTGCCACCACACCATGCTAATTTTTGTATTTTCAGTAGAGATGGGGTTTCGTCATTTTGGCCCAGACATATCTCGAACTCCTGGCCTCAAGTGATTCGCCTCTCAGAGTGTTGGGATTACAGGCGTGAGTCACTGTGCCCAGCCTCAAATACTTTTTAAAAAGTGATTCTCTCCATCCGTCAATGTATAATATCTTTCAGAGAGGTAATAATTTAAAATACCTTTGGTAATTTATACTCTAGAATGAATAGATTAGTGAGAATAGACTAAGTATTTCAGCATATGGTAAACTACAAGATGAAAATTTGGCCAAATATTCAAACTCCTTCAAAAGTATCAACCTCAGATGTGTTCAGTAAAACTTAAAGGATGGTTAGGTCATTGTTCACTGGGAAACATGGAAAATTCCTCTTAAGAAAGCAAGCTATGTATGTCCTTATATCTTGGGCAGGATGAAGAAGACTTCCAAGTCAACTGGAAGTTGAAGTTTAAAGAAAACCGAGGGTGGACTTGTGGGGGTAAATTCCAGGCTATGAGGCAAGAGAGAGGCAAGATAGCCGGCCTGAGCCTAGAGATGTTTGCTCATAGTTTCTGTAAAGGAAGAAAGCATTTTCTTCTTTCATATGTCACACTTTATTATTATTTCCAAACTGAAGGAAATTCACATTTGCTCCAGGGACATCAGACTGCCTCCCTAAATTGGCTTTCAGTTTTCTTATTTCAAATAAAAT
The DNA here is from genome assembly GCF_000001405.40 of Homo sapiens. NCBI lineage: Eukaryota > Metazoa > Chordata > Mammalia > Primates > Hominidae > Homo > Homo sapiens. The sequence goes on along the minus strand of NW_003315931.1, from coordinate 33,956 downwards.
ATTTTATTGTTTAAAGTAACAATAAAACCCCAGGTTTTAACCTTTTATTCTTATGATAACCAGATGGGAGTTATAGAACTTTGTGATATACATCCGAGGCTGAACATTGGATATCTGCTTAATCTCTTGGGTAGATTCCATAAATCTCCTGGTTTTTCCCATGAGAAAAAAAAAAAAGTAGTGAAATAGATGAGACCCGGTTACATATTGTTACATTAGATTTTTTTTTAACCTTAAGCTCTAAAAGGTAAGGGGTTTTTAGTAGGTAAAATTAACATTTTTAGAAGTTGAAGCTTCAGTTTTAGAAAGCTGCTAGGTTTTTCTTTTTAAACTCAATATGTGGCTTTAGTGAATGATTTCGTCTTGACTTACTTCTCTGAGAAATCGATTGCAGTTACAGAGGTGAACTGCGTGTGGCCTTCGTTGATGCAGGCAGCGTTTGGTGTCCTGCTATGCCGCTGCTCATATTGGATAAACACACCCTCATTGATATTGACCAAAAGTATTCATCTAGTTCAAATACCATAAAATTCCTTTGTCAAAAGTATGTTACGTGAGTGTGAAAACATTTCAAAATAATTCCAGTGATCTTTAATAGGGGTTGGGGGGATGAGGGATATAATATAATTCATTAATTTTTTTTTTTTTTTTTGAGATGGAGTCTCGCTCTGTCGCCCAGGCTGGAGTGCAGTGGTGCCATCTCGGCTCACTGCAAGCTCCGCCTCCCAGGTTCACACCATTCTCCTGCCTCAGCCTCCCGAGTAGCTGGGACTACAGGCGCCCGCCACCACGCCCGGCTAATTTTTTGTATTTTTAGCAGAGACAGGGTTTCACCGTGTTAGCCAGGATGGTCTCGATCTCCTGACCTCGTGATCCGCCCGCCTTGGTCTCCCAAAGTGCTGGGATTACAGGCATGAGCCACCATGCCTGGCCAATCATTAAATTTTTTTATTTTAATTTTTTATTTTACATTCCTTGTATTGAAGTGATCTCACAAAGACTGTACAGGCAGATCACCATGGGATGAGAGTTTCCACATAGATTGCCTGGTTTTCTAAGAAAAACACTGTATTTTCCCCAACATGATTGGCAACAGCAAGATGGAGTTGTAATTCTGTGAAAGTAAATGTTCCTCAAAAAATTGTTAGCATCCACGTTATTTTGGAAATAACCATGTACAAATACTAGAACTTTTACTTTTTAGGAGCCCCTGGATGGCTGAAGCCCCACAGGAAGCTCACAGGGGCTGTGTGGGGCTTGTTGAGGTGCCTCCAGTTTTTACCCACTGGTCCCTAGCGTGTAGGTGAGCTCGGGGCTCCTGCATCTGCCTTTCTCACACCCGTGTTAGCTTATTTTCCACCAGTGCCAGAAGCTGAACTGCCCATTGTTAATTTCCTTGAGTACCATAATAGTGCCATGCCTAGTTTTAGTTAAGAAATTATTAAGTTTTTATATAACAGAGAAGCAAAAATAATGTGTACCATCAATTTCAATTCTGTTTTTTGTTGTTTGATTTTTTTTTTTTTTTTTTTTGTAAAGGAAACTGAAGCCCGAAGAGTTACAGAGGTTTTCTGTTTTCTGCTTGAGGGTCTTTTTTTCCAAGATGCCACTTAGCCCCATCAAATGGATCAATAATGACCTCAGCTATTCATCTCAGAGATAACTAATACTTTTTCCTTCCCCAAAATCGGAGTCAAAGGAGTTTCTTCTTAGAGCTCCCAATCACCTCTTTCTTTTCTTTCTTTCTTTCTTTTTTTTTTTTTTTTTTTTTTGAGACAGAGCCTCACTCTGTTGCCCAGGCTGGAGTGCAGTGGATCAATCTCTGTTCACTGTAACCTCCACCTCCCCGGTTCAAGTGATTCTCCTGCCTCAGCCTCCCGAGTAGCTGGGATTACCGGCGCCCACCACCACGCCCAGCTAATTTTTGTATTTTTACTGGAGACGCAGTTTCACCATACTGGCCAGGCTAGTCTTGAACTCCTGACCTCAGGTCATCCACCCACCTTGGCCTCCCAAAGTGCTGGGATTACAGGATTGAGCTACCTCATCTGGCCCCAATCACCTCTTGAGGAATTATCACAGCATCCTCCTTTTCTTACCTTTTAAATTCCCTACAACATCACTAAACATTATTACTCTATATTGTGTGCACTGGTTTTTTTCTTTTGCTCTATGGGGTGTAACAATACATGTATTAAAGGAAAGATGGGGCTAAGAAGAAGTTTAAATTGCATTTACTTTGATTTGACATAACAGCATTTTTTGTTGTAATGCTATGTTTATATAATAAGAGTACTGATGGTTTTAGTGAAAGGATGATTTTATCTCTCAAATTTGCATGAGTGAATTATGATTTCATGATGACGGGTGGTTCTCTAAACTAAAAGCTATTGCAGGATATTTAATTATAAAAACTATACTAGAGATTAAAACAACTATTATTAACCCTACAATTGGAATGTTCTGTCCTATTACTAAAAATATTCTAGCCTTTCATACCTATCAGGATGGCTAAAACCCAGAACACTGTCAACACCAAATGCTGACAAGGATATGGAGCAACAAAAACTCCCATTCATTGTTTGTAGGAGTGCAGAATGGTATAGCTACTTTGGAAGACAGTTTAGCAGTTTCTTACAAAACTAAACATCCTTTTACCATATGATCTAGCAATTGTACTTCTTGGTATTTACCCAAAGGAGTTGAAAACTTGTATCCACACAAGAAACAACACATGAATGTTTATTGCAACTTTATTCACAATTGCCCCAAACTATAAGCAATCAAGGTGTCCTTCAAAGGCAAATGGCTAAACAGTGCAATATCCAGGCAATGGAATATTATTCAGTGCTAAAAAAAAAAAAATCATCCATCAAGCCATGAACAGACGTGGAGGAAGCTTGACTGCATTGTACTAAGTAAAAGAAGCCCCATCAGAAAAGACCCAGACTGTATGATTCCAACTATATGACATTCTGGAAAAGGCAAAACTGTGAAGTTGGAAGATCAATGATTGCCAGTTCAGGGAAGGGAGAGATAAATAGATTTTTAGGACAGCAGAACTACTCTGTATGATACAGTAATGGTGGCTACATGCCATTTTATACTCGTCCAAACTCACAGAATGTACAAACCCAAGAGTGAACGTTAAGGTAAACTACTGAGTTCTTTACTCCAATTATTGCTAATATTTTCGAATCACAATACTTGTAAGTTCCCTCTTCCTTTAACAAAATTCCTCCCCCGATCTTTCTCTCATTCTTCCTCAGATTTGGTCTTTCCCTTCTAACATTTGTTTGTTTGCTAAACTTAAAAAATTACTGGCTGCATTCTAAGTGAGCACAGTTTAACTTGACTACATATTTAATTCAAGTCTTAACAAAATCTGCAAAAGAAAGGAACATCAGATGTAAATATGAGAAAGAATAAGTAAATGAATTGATTGTCCAAGTTGTTAGTCCTATGGGATAAAATTTTCTGTTCAAAAAATTTCTGTCGAAAACTGCTGAAGAGACACCAGATTGTGTAAACAACTCTCAAGGCAACGTGGTGCCCAGGTTCTCAGAGGGGCTGTTCTTTTAACATAGCTTCCCTCTGGGGCAGTCCCTGACTCCTCTGTGACCAGCACACCACATCCAGCCTGTCCTAAGCCCCATGGCCTCTCCTTCAGGATATATGAGACACTGAGTGCCTGCCCAATGTCCAGCTCCCACCCTCAACCTGGCCGCCTCATCTCTCTCTGATACCAGGAGCTTCCTCACTGGGCTCCCTGCTTTTCTCACGTTGGGCCCCGTGGTCTGGTCTGTAGGCTACAGTCTGAGTGATTTTTTTTTTTCTTCCAGAGACAGAGTCTCACTGTTTCACCCAGGCTGGAGTGCCACGGTGTGATCACAGCTCACAGCAGCCTCGAACTCCTGGGCTCAAGTGGTCATCCTGCCTCCAGCCTCCCAAGTAGCTGGGACTACAGGTGCACACTACCATGCCCAGATAATTTTTTAATTTTTTGTAGAGACAGGGTCTCACTATGTTGTCCAGGATGGTCTTGAACTCCTGGCCTCAAATGATCCCCCGGCTTCGGGCTCCCAAAGTGCTGGGATGATAGTCATGAGCCACGGTGCCTGTCCCTGAGTGATCTTCCAATGCTGAGGCAAAGCATTTCATTCCTCATTGACCCTTCTCATGGTGTCCACGTCCTCTTCAATCCACAATTTCCTCCCTGACAGGGCTCCGGCTAGAAATCTCTCCAGCCCTCTCCAGCTCTGAAACCTGGATGAATCTGAGCGCCCATTCACCTTTCCCACAGCAAACAGAGGGAATGGGCTTGAGGAAGAGGAGGCGAGAGAGTCCTGCTGAGTACAAGACAAGGTCGCCGCCATTGCCAGCTTAAAGGGCCCAGGGTTGACCATGGTGTAGACATCCTCTGAGGAGTCCACAGCTCCATCCACTGCCCTGATAGAGCGGTTTTGTGGACAGCATCTTGTTTTGCCTGCTCCCTTACCATATCTCCTTCTCTGTAAGCATCCTGAGTTCCATTTTGGGAATTCCTATTCTTCACTGGGTAAAGGCTTGGTGGGGATGTAAATCAAAGTTCCCTTTGCTCCCTGTTCAGAAACCAGTGGGCCCTTCCTAGCAGAGCCTTTTTTCCACAGCCTTAGCCACATTCAAATGGTGGGCATTTGCTGTAAAGAGGGCCAACCAGGCCCTCCGCTGGGATTTTGCCTCCAGTGGACTAATGCAAATATGAGGAGTGAGTTGGGGGTTCATTCATTTCAAAATGAAGTGTGAAGAGGTGGCCGAGCTGTTCTTGCTGCCCTGGTTCCCATGGTTTCTGATCTCCATTCTTCAGCCTTCCGGGGAGTGTCTGGCATGCTCCTAATTCTTCCTTTATTCCTAACTTGGCTGGCATCAGTTTCTGTGCTTGTAAAGGAAGTAGGGGCAGTAAGGGGTGGGAGTACCACTTGGTGTGCCTGAGGGGCTCCAGGCATTACTGTGTGGACATCCTCTCCCTTACTGAAGCAGGAAGCCCATTCAGCACAGTGGGCTCCAGGGCTCCACCTTGTTTCAACTGAGTACAAATAAAGGAAAGGCAAGAAAGGTATCGAACTTGAAGTTTTAATGGGTCAGTTGAATGAAATCTGATAACCTTTCCCAGAGACCGTTGTTAGAAATAGCAAACACTTTGCTGAAGAGACACCCTATGATTGTGTGAACTGCAAACCTGGAGATGTGGGCTTGGCAGCCTCTGCCAGGAACATGTCTCTAGATGCATCTTTCCTGTGCAATATCTTCATGAACAGGATATGAGGGTGTCACCGTGCAGTCGAGGAGGCAGGCCATGCTATGGCACCCGAAGGACCTTTGAAATCTCCACCAACCTGAGAGCTTGAGGAGGGTCAGTAAACCCTGGGGGTGTCTATTTGCTCTCCGCTTTGAGTTCCACTTAGTACTAACTACCTGAAATACTTTTTGTCTAAACACCTGAGTCTAAGGCGGGAGGCCCCAGGAAGCTGCTGCCTTCAATTTGATGGATATGGACTGAACTTTAACACCAGGCCAAGGTGCTGGGGAGAGAGGAGATGGACTGCAAAAACACTGTGCCCTGGAAGCAAATGACTTTGAGAAAAACGGATTTTTCCTCTCAGTTTGGTCCTCCCTAAGAGCTACTTGACAAAGTGGTTCAACGTCTTGCCGCTGGCTGCTGTCAGAGTATCAGCTTTGCAGCTGGTAGAATGTTTGGGTTACTCAGTTTGTGTGTGGGGTAGAGAAGCCCCTAGCTCACCTCAGTGCCCGCCCCTTCATGGCCTGCCATTCCCAGTTGAGGGCATTTGTCTCCTTCCCTTCACAGATTTGATATCCCTGCACAGGGGTAAGCACCTGCAGCTCGTGTGTAAATGGGATTGGACCCACTTTGATTTCAGCTCTGGGAAGGACCCAGTGTGAGGCAGGAGGAGCCTGGAAAGGTCTCACACGGTGGAGGCAACCCCTGGACCAGCCCCGTGCAGCTGGCCTGGAGCCTGTCACCTGAGACGCCTGCCCAGGCACCTGACTCCTAGGGCTGCTGCCTTCTGCCCTCAAGGGCGGCATGACCGACTCAGAATCAGGAGTGCCACTGCTGGGTTCAGCTCTGCCACCTGCCAGCTCCTTGAACGTGGTAAATTGTTTCACCTCCCTGAACTTTCTCCCTTAGCTTCTTACCTGAAAAACAAGGAAACTGACTTCCATTTCCTTGCTAAATAGGTTTGCAAAGGTAGAGCTGCCATCAACCGAGCTGTCAACTATGCCCCAGTTTATATGCCCACCTTAACCCCTGCCCCGCCCTGGTGGTACTATTAGTTGAATGAGTCCATTGGTTTACTTTAGATGATTATTTCTTCTTCTTCTTCTTCTTCTTCTTCTTCTTCTTCTTCTTCTTCTTCCTCTTCCTCTTCTCCTTCTCCTTCTTCTCTTCTTCTTCTTCTTCTTCCCTCCTCCTCCTCCTCCTCTTCCTCCTTCCTCTTCCTCCTCTCTTTCTCCTTCCCCTTCTCCTTCTCCTTCTTCTTCTTCTCCTTCTTCTTCTTCTTCCTTCTTCTTGTTTATGAGACGGAGTCTTGCTCTGTCGCCCAGGCTGGAGTGCAATGGAATGACCTCAGCTCACCGCAACCTCTGCCTCCTGGGTTCAAGCAATTCTCCTGCCTCAGCCTCCTGAGTAGCTGGGATTACAGCTGCCCGCCACCATGCCCAGCTAATTTTTGTATTTTTAGTAGAGATGGGGGTTTGCCATGTTGACCAGGCTGGTCTTGAACTCCTGATCTCAGGTGATCCACCCTCCTCGGCCTCCCAAAGTGCTGGGAATACAGGCGTGAGCCACCGCGCCTGGCCTAGATGATTTCTTCTAAAGTACCTTTCTCCTTCCAGACTCTGTGACTGTCTTTAGTCGCAGGCTTTGTGCTTCTCAAGCAGGTAAAATGCTTATCATCCCGACTTTAAACGTCCCTTCTTCATCCCGAGCTATTTTGTCAGAAAAGTGGGGGGACTCCCTGGAGTTGAGTCAGGAGTTGTGCCGTGTTGGACGTCTCATAGTGGCCGGAGCAAACTGTCTCTGGAAAAGGAATAGATTTCATTTTCTAAACCGGACAGGCACAGCAGTTTCAGTGTTTTTGCGTAATAAATGCTAATCATCAACCAGGAAGGAGCGGGTGATTAAATATTCAGTTACAGCGCTGGGTGCTTTGACTCCTCACCGGCCCCATCCCAGGCTGTGAAGACAAGAAGAAAAGCTAGCGCTGACACCTACTTGCAGAGGCCCTTGGCTCTACCCTTGTCTGGGTCGTGAGTGCTGGGTGAGGAGTGTCCTTGAGTTGGCCTTTGCTGGCAAAAAACAGACAAAACACATCGTGTTGTAAAAGTCTGTGTCAGTTTAACAAGATTTTCTTAACTCTTTCCACATTTAAGCTGTAGCCATAATGCCATGAACTGCGCTAATATGCACTGTTACAGCTTATCCTAGAATGTGCAAATTCGTTCTTTCCTTATATGAAATTTAAAGCACGAAATTATGCCTTTCAAATTCTTCAGATCCTCAGCTTTCAGGTTTAAAGATGTTTACGTAGCTTTAATATGCTTAAATTTATTGCCATTTTAGTCCATTGAAACCTGTGATAAAATCACTTTAAGGAAGTTGCTTGAAATATCATTCGTTGTTATTATTTAATAGTAACTTTTAATAAAAAATTTCACCTCACATTGCCACTTTTACTACCTGAGAGCTTTAGAAGACGTAAGAAACAGTTCTATCTGTAGCATGTACTTACTGGTAAATTTTTAAGGAAATACAGTGTTCAGAAAACTCTCCCTCACTCTCTAGTCAAGGCCTACACGCTGAATGTTGATTGGCCATCAGGTCGGTCTGTGACTTCCAGGTCATTAGGGAAGAGACCATCAATTACTCATGTTAAGTTGCATCATCCAGTATTGTCCTTTTATTGCTACACATACTCAAGATGCATCGATTTTTAAAAATTAATTTTAAAATTTATCTATTGACCTTTTTTGGGGTCTATAGTTCTGTAAGTTTTAACACCTGTATAGATTTTTATAACCACCACCACAATTAGGATGCAAGAGAGCTCCATCGTATAAAAAGTAAACTCTTGAATGTTACCCCTTTAAAATCAAACGCCTGACCCCTGGCAAGCACTGATCTCTTCCCCATTCCTTGCGGTTTTGCCTTTTTTAGAACATCACCCACACACACAAATCATACAGTATGTAACCTCTTGAGGTCTGCTTCTTTCTCTCTGCAAGATTAGGAATTCATCTGTGTTTTTATGTGTATGAATACTTTGTTCTCATTTATTTCTGAGTAGTATTTCATCTTATGGATATATCATAGTTTATTCACCTGTTGAAGGATAATTGGGTTGTTTCCAGGTCTTGATGGTTATAACTAAAGCTCCTATGAACATTTATGTAAAGTTTTTGTGTGATCAGACATTTTCATTTCTTTTGGGTAATGACCAAGGACTAGGATTGATGGGTCGTGTGAGAACTCCAGGTTTAACTTTATAAAAACGGCCAAGTGGTTTTTCAGAGTGGCTATATTATTTTGCAGTCTAACCAGCAGTGCATGAGAATTCTAGTTGTTCTGTGTCCTCACTGGCATTTGGTATTGTTAGATTTTTTTTTAAGTTAGTCATTTTAACAATATGTTTTTTTATTGTGTTAAAAAATGTTTCATTTAAGTTAGCTGGGTGTGGTGACAAGCACTCATGATCCTAGCTACTTGGGAGGCTGAGGTGGGAGGATTGCTTGAGCCCAGCAGTTTGAGGCTGCAGTGAGCTATGATCACACCATTGCACTCTAGCCTGGCCAACAGAGTGAGACCCTATCTAAAAAATTTTGTTTATAATTTTATTGAGATAAAATTGACATACAATAAAGTGAGCATATTTAAAGTGTACAGTTTGAAAAGTTTTGGCATGCATATACACCTGTGAAGCCATCATGAACATAAAGAAAAATGAGCATATTTATCATGCTCTAAAGATCACCTGTGCCCATTTGGAATCCTTCACTCCACCACGATATCACCTCCCTCAGGCAACGAATGATCTGCTTTCTGTCACTGTAGATTAGTTTGTATTTTCTAGACTTTTATAAATGAAATTATATTATATATACTCTTTTGTGTAATATAGTTGTATCAAAGATGTCCTTGCCTAATATGGTCATACCACATGTTTGGTTAAATTGATACTTCCTATTTACAGTTCTTTTTTTTTTTTTTTTTTTTTTTTTGAGATGGAGTCTCGCTCTGTCACCCAGGCTGGAGTGCAGTGGCGCCGTCTCGGCTTACTGCAAGCTCCACCTCCCGGATTCACGCCATTCTCCTGCCTCAGCCTCCTGAGTAGCTGGGACTACAGGCGCCCGCCAGCACGCCCGGCTAATTTTTTGTATTTTTAGTAGAGACTGGGTTTCACCATGTTAGCCAGCATGGTCTCGATCTCCTGACCTCATGATCCACCCGCCTCGGCCTCCCAAAGTGCTGAGATTACAGGCGTGAGCCACTGTGCCTGGCCCCTATTTACATTTCTTTATGTTTGTGTAGCTGTCATTCAATGCAGATACAAATTATGACTGTGATAATTATTATTATTATTATTTTGAGACAGAGTCTTGCTCTGTAGCTCAGGCTAGAGTGCAGTGGTGCAATCTTGGCTCACTGCAACCTCCATCTCCTGGGTTCAAGCAATTCTCCTGCCTCAGCCTCCTGAGTAGCTCGCACTACAGGCATGCACCAGCATACCCGGCTAATTTTTGTATTTTTAGTAGAGACAGGGTTTCACCATGTTGGCTAAGCTGGTCTCGAGCTCCTGACCTCAAATGATCCACCCACCTTGGCCTCCCAAAGTGTTTGGATTACAGGTGTGAGCCACCACTCCCAGTCATGACTGTGATTATTAACCATTATTTGTTAAATTGTTGGGCCCAGAGCTAGTATTTGTGTTTCTATTATTTACAGAATTTTTTATGAATGTATAGATATATTTTTTCTCAAATAATCCCATATATTGAGACCTCTTAATACTGTTTTCCCATAGGTGAACATTTTATTATGATACCTATAGTTAACAATTTAACTATAGTTAAACATGTAAACATTTCAATTTTTGGTTTGTTTTACAACTTGAATTCCTTTATTTTCTTGCCGTATCTGTCACTTGAGATTTTCTTCACTGTTCTGTGTTGAAACCCCTGTTTCTGGCCACTTAAGTGTCTTTCTCCTCTTTCTTAGTTTAGTTCTTTGTTTTGGTATGTCCTCTATTAGCTTCTTGAGGAAGAAACGAAATTACTCTTGGCCCTTTATACCTAAAAATGTCTTTATTCTAGCCTTATGTGTAATTGATAATTCGGCTAGATATAGAATTCTGAGTTAACAATAATTTTCCCTCAGAAATTCGAATTTATTTCCTCTTGTTTTTTAGTGTGCAATATTCTTGTTGAGAATGTGATACCATTTTGATTTTAGGTGATTTGTGTATGACTTGGAAATGTCACAAGGATACCCTTTGGTAGGGGAATGTTTTATTCATTGTGCTAGAGCTTCGGTGGGGGTCTTTCAATCCAATATGTATCCTTAAGTTACAGGACTTTCTCTTGAATTTCTTTTTTATACTTTGTTTTTTCTACAATTCCTGTTACTCGTATATTGGACCACCAAGATTGATCTTTAATTTTTAAAAAAATTTTTAAAATCTTGTTTTTGGGATATGTCTTGATTTACTTTATCTTCAACTATTTCTACTGATTTTTAAAAATTTCTTCTACTATATATATTTTTTCTGCTGGTTCTTTTAGAAATAGAACATGTTCCTTTTTTCAGGGATATGATATTTTCTGTATTGAAAAATGTTTAATCACAGATTTTTTTTTCCACAAAATCTTCTGCTTCTTGCATTGTCTCTAAGTTATCTTTTATGATGTTTGTTTTGGTCTCTGTATTTCATGATGAAGCCTTTTCTCTAGTTCTCCTTGGTTCTGCCTACATATTTAAGTGTAAAATACAAAAAAGGATTACCAGAGGCATCAGATAAGATGGGGAGTCAGAGTGGAAACAATATTCTTTACAAGTTGCAGTTCAAATATCTTTATTTTTGCAAAACTTACAAAAACATATGACCCATTGTGGATTTATAGCTCTATAATTATTTACAGTTATTTAGTGGGATTTTGGTGGCAGAGGAAATACATATGGTAATCATTTTGTATACCCCTCCTGAATAATAATTTGGCTGGTAATAGAATTTTTTTTTTTTTTAGAGAGACATGGTCTCTCTCTGTTGCCTGGGCTGGAGTGCAGTGGCACAATCCTCCCACCTCAGCCTCCTGAGTAGCTGGGATGAGAGGCTCACACCACCATGCCTAATTCTATTTTATTTTTTTTGTAAAGATGAGGTCTCACCATGTTGCCCAGCCTGGCTTGAGCTCCTGGACTCAAGCAATCCTCTCACTTCAGGCTCCAAAAGTGCTAGCTAGGATTACAGGTGTGAGCCACCATGCCCAGCCAGAATTCTTGAGTCAGTTATTCTATCTCAGTATTGTGAACTTATTACTGCTATGTGCTCTGACATCTATTGTGTCTGGTGAGAAATCTGTTTATCATTCATAGTTAATTCCTTTATTTATGTACCACTTTTTTTTTCCTGTGATAGCTTTCCAGATTTTTCTTTAAAGTTCTGCAGTTTTACTATGATGGGGCTAGTTAGGAATTTACTATAATAATTCCATAATTATTATTTATTTAACATTAGGTAGAATTTTTCTTTTCTTTTTTTTTTTGAGACGGAGTCTCCCTCTGTCGCCCAGGCTGGAGTGCAGTGGCACGATCTTGGCCTCACTGCAAGCTCCACCTCCCAGGTTCACGCCATTCTCCTGCCTCAGCCTCCCAAGTAGCTGGGACTACAGGCAGCCGCCACCACATCTGGCTAATTTTTGGTATTTTTTAGTAGAGACGGGGTTTCATCATGTTAGCCAGGATGGTCTCGATCTCCTGACCTCATGATCCACTTGCCTCGGCCTCCCAAAGTGCTGGGATTACAGCGTGAGCCACCACGCCCAGCCAACATTAGGTAGAATTTTTCAATGAAAAAACTCCTATCTTTCAGTTTAGGAAAATCTCAGCTTTCATCTCTTTAATTATTACTTTTTTTTTTTTTTTTTGAGATGGAGTCTTGTTCTGTCACCCAGGCTAGAGTGCAGTGGCACGATCTGGGCTCACTGCAACCTCTGCCTCCCGGGTTTAAGCAATTCTCCTGCCTCAGCCTCCTGAGTAGCTGGGACTACAGGCACGTGCCACCAGGATGGTCTCAATCTCCTGATCTCATGATCCACCTGCCTCGGCCTCCCAAAGTGCTGGGATTACAGGTGTGAGCCACTGCACCTGGCCTAATTATTCCATTTTTAACATTCATTTTTTTCACTCTTTCAAACGTTTCTTTTTTTTTTTCTTTTGAGGCTCCTGCTCTGTCACCAGGCTGGAGCACAGTGGCGTGATCTCAGCTCACTACAACCTCCGCTTCCCGGGTTCAAGCAATTCTCCTGTCTCAGCCTCCCAAGTCGCTAGGACTACAGGCACGCGCCACCATGCCCAGCTAAATTTTAGCCCAGCTAAAATACTAAAATTTTGTATTTTTAGTAGAGACGGGGTTTCACCATGTTGACATTTCTTTAAATTTATATCATGTCTCTTCACTTTTTTTTTTCTAATTTCCATCTCTTCATCTCTGCTCTGTACTAGGAGATTTTCTCAGTTTTCTTTTTTAATTTGCTAATTATTTTGCTCCTTGATATGTCCTCTATTTAGTCTATATTCAGAGATTTTAAATTATCAAGAGATCTGATTTTTTTTTTTTCTCTGAGATGTAATTTCGCTCTTGTTGCCCAGGCTGGAGTGCAATGGCGTGATCTTGGCTCACTCCAACCTCTGCCTCCCGGGTTCAAGTGATTCTCCAGCCTCAATCTCCCAAGTAGCTGGGATTACAGGCACATGCCATCATGCCCAGCTAATGTTTGTATTTTTAGTAGAGATGGGGTTTCACCATGTTGGCCAGCCTGGTCTGTCTTGAACTCCTGACCTCAAGTTATCCACCCACCTTGGCCCCGTGAGCCACCACTCCAGGCCAGAGATCTGATTTTTTAAAAATACTCATCTGTTCCCTTGCCATAATGGCATTTTAAAATTTTGAATGTTCTTGTTCCACAAATGTCATTCTCTACTTTATCAATTTGAGGATTCAATATTTTTATCAGGTCACTTTAGAATTCCTACCGTAAGGTTTTGCATGGGGTGTGTGTATGAGTGTGCAATTGTGATCAATGTGAATTACACACCTACGATCGTACATACAATCTGTATGCAGCAGACCTGGGTTTACTATTGTCACGATACTAGACATTCTTGTATGTTTTTTGCAGTTCTTACATGTGAGTTTATCTTCTGTGGAAATTTTACCTTGTGGACTCCCTCAGCTGTGGTTGCCTCCCTGAGAAGTAATTTCACATTGACCCATAGGGTACATAGATTCCAACCAGATCACAGGTTAATGACGGGTTCAGGGCTCCTGTGGATGAAGCTGATGCAACCATGTTCATGTGAATGCACCTATTTCCACCCGTGACTGGTGCAGAGGCATTTCAACTCCTAATGAGCCAGCCCTGCACCCAGTTTGGGTCCTGAATACAAGACTCTCCCAGGCTCAACTCTTGTCCCTGTGTGATATTGGGCCCTACCCTTTCTCCTGTTTCAATCTCCAAAGGGGAATTTTTTTAAAGGTGTAGAAAAATAGGGGAAAAATGAACTCATAGATCTCAATCTTGGGTTTGCTAAGAATATTTTCCTAAAAATATGTATATCCTTTTTTAAAAATATTTGTATGTTACTAAAGCAAAAAGAAAGTGTTACTTTCCCAGACATGCTAATTCCCAGCAAATAAAGCTTTGGCAGATTGGCAAGTTTTGCAAATAAACAGGGACCATTCATCATGAAAGATGACAAGCATAGACACTCAAGATACCAGTTTCTAAAACAATGTCTAAACAACGCTTGAGTAAATTACTAACTTTAAAAATATATTTAATTTAAAAATTTCACAATTCGCATGAAGATGGCTTCTTCTTATTAAGAAACGTTAAAATCTTTGTTTTAATTTCTATTGTGAAATTAAATAATTCAAACTTCAAGTTGTTGGAACTTTAAGTTATTCTGAGCCTTGAGACAAATGTGGCTATGCAGCCTGAGTCACGTGCAGCGGCAACTTCCGCCTTTTTTTCCCCCTGTGAATAATTAAGAAGACCAAACAGCACGAGAGAGAAGACCTCCTCAGATCACCATCCCTCCTCATTGAGTAATAAAGTAATCTTCCTTGGCACGTAGCAATCTGTGACCAATCAAATTGCTTTAATGTATGCACTGGTCTCCTATGGAAAATGTTGTAATCCTCTGAAAATATCTTTGTCTCTGTCTGTAAAAGTGAAACCTTAACTTCTCCACTTGGGAATGCTGACCATATTCATTTGGAGCTGACGCTTCATGAGTGGCTATCCTCAAGCTTTGCACTCGAATAAACTCTATCCTTAGTCATATTTTCTGAATCTCATTATTTAAGGTTGACACTATTTATGAGAAAAAGATGAAACAGAAACAACCGCAGCCAAGGTGAACTGGTCAAAACTGGCTAAGGTCGTAAAATAAAATAGAACTTTTACAACATACAGATGTGAATTAATAAAGTTTAGGCATCTCAGCTGAGAATAGAAGATTTGTATCTGAAGTCTCACAAATCTGGGTTTCATCAACTGCTTCAACTCAGTAAACATTGCCAGGGATTGCTCTAGGCACAATGCTGTGCTTGACAATGGGCATGCAAAGGCGACTAACATGTGCCCTTTGCCTCCCAAACAGCTACTTTTTAACTGATCAACCTCAAAAGTGCTAAACCTGGGATCACCAGACATTCTGCAGTGCAACTGGAACTTTCATGCTAAAAAAATTCAAACCTGCGTCTAAACAAGCCTCTAAATGTAAACATCAGCTTACAGGAAATACAAGAAGCAAAAGAATGTGTTAGTTACACCATAAGAATGCAATTCATCAAGATCCAGACTGTGGAAAATTGAGCAGACCAAACATATGGCCTGAAAGCCAGAAAGAAGAAGGGGAAGTATCACATATTGAAAGAGCTTAAGAGATTTATCAAATGCACGATGTAGACTTTGCATAGAGCCTATTTGAACACACCAACTGCATAAAGTTATTTTTGAGAAAATTTTAAAACAAACTGGGTATTAGATGAAATCAAGAAATATTAATTTGGGAAAGTATGATAATGTGCTGTGATTAGGTTTTTTTTAAGTGCTTATTTTTAGACAGACGTGATACATTTAAGACTGAAAACCTGGAATTTGCCTTAAAATGATCCAGAGAAACATTGAGTGGTGAGGAGAGGAAGGGGTGGAGAGTAGATAAAACAAGATTGGCAAAATGTTTATACTTGAAACTGGGTAATAAATACGTGAAGATTCATTTTATACTTCCTTTATTTTTGTGTATGTTTGAAAATATTTATAACAAAATGTTTGTAGAAGTAACACACAATTGAGTTTGACTCAGCAAAGGAAGGAAAGAAGAAAGGAAGGAAGGAAGGGAGGAAGAGAGGTAGGGAGGGAGGGAGGGAGGAAGGAAGGAAGGAAGGAAGGAAGGAAGGAAAAAAAAGAAGAGGGGGAGAGAATGTGCCTGTGTGTAGCAGCAGGAAAGCTGCAGTGAGCTTATGAAGATTTGTGGTGACGGCTGGCTGCCTTCCATGAGTGTCTCAGTCTTGGGAAATATCTTAATTCTGCCCGATGTGAGAAGTAATGGAAGGGTAGCAGTATTATAGACATATAATCTTTTTCTCTTCTGCCCACTTTACTTAATCTTCTCATCGATAATTTGGGACTATCTCTCTGCCTTTGGTTGTTTCAAAGTATTTCACTCCAAAATACAGGTCCCTGGTATAATGAGTATTTTAAATTAAAAACCCTTAGAGATCAATAAGCACTGGTTTTCTCCTATCTATACATACAGGTAGGACAGACTCACCAAGGAGAACAATTATTCTTGCTGTCTTCCCTGTTATCTCCTTATCCATTACAGAAAAGAAGATAATAACTTGCTCCAGGGATCATTTAAATTCCAAAGAGAACTATTTACAAGTTAATTTCTGTTTCCCATACAGTCATTCATTCTAGTAATCATTTATTGCCCCTCAATGGAATTCTTCTCTCCACTCCCATAACCTGTTTTACCAGGATCCAAGCTCCCATTCTTTCTGTAACTGACATCAGTGGGCTGCGGGAAGTCCCCAGTTGCTAGTGGGACCTCCACCCCAGTGAGAATAAATTCAAGGCTGAGTCAGAAAATAGTCCAAGTACGGAAATGTATTGCAAAGTGAAAAGTACACACTCAAGAAAGGGGAGTGCAGGTGTACTCAAGAGACAGTCACATGCAAAGGGGTTTGGAGGGGCTGCCTTTGTGGGTTTCTTTAACTAAGGGATGGAATATTCATGAAGATTCCTGGAAAAAGGTGGAGATGTTCTGGAACTCTAGTGCTACTCATTTTCACACCAAATATGGATGTTCCTGGAACTGTCATGGTGCTGGTGGGTGTGTGATTTGTATGCTAATGAGCGTATAATGAGGTTCTAGGTGAAACCTAGGTCAAATCCAGTGCCACGTTGAGTCCGGTTAGTCTCACCCAGCTTAGTCCGCACCCTGGCTTTTAGGGTCTTATCAGCCCATAGTTTCTGCAGCTATTTCTACAGTTTCCTTTTGCTAGCCATGTGAAACCACTGCCTGGAATTTTCTATTCTCCTGCAACCACCCTTGTTATTCCTGTCTCCTAACCTCAGAATGGTATATAAGCTTCTGTACCTCACTGGGAAGTTGGGTCTTCATTCAGAAGGCCCCCAATGTATACATGTTAAATGAATTTGTATGGCTTTTCTCCTATTAATCTGCCTTTTGCAAGTTGATTTTTCAGTGAAACTTCAGAGAGGGTCAAAGGGAAAGCCCTGCCTTGGCCCCCACATGTTATTGAGGTATGTTTCTCATGGATAAAAGCAATCTTTAAGTGATTCTTGGAATTTATTACTACCTTACTGGTAACTCCCTTTGCTTCTATAAGAAACAAAGGCAGAAAGTTGTAGTAAATTCCAGGGCTCTCCATAGAATTATTAACCCGTTATAAAAGTAATAAAGTTGCTGAGAAATTGCCTGCTTGTTTTTTAGGTGTCCTTTGGCTTATTTTGTTTATATACATTACCTAACACCCTAAAACTTCAGGGCCAGGATGTGGGCTATCATGGGTTCCAGTGAGGATCGTGAAGGAAACCAAAATATTTCACTCCAAAGTATCCTTCTTTGACGTATTTTGAGATGGCTGTTCAGAGGGCTTGCAAACAGAAGTAGCCCTGAAAAACTGTCTTTCCTGGGAAACTTTGCATCTGTGCAGAATCTGCACGGTGCAGCCAGGCCTCCTCTGAGGCCCTCTCTTATCCAGATCTAAAAAAGATTAACTGAGAATCCAACATCTTTAAAGGTCTGAAGGAAACTCTTACCATGTATTCTCTCCGAGAGCTGCAACCTGTGAGGTTTCATCATCTACATAACAGGACTCCCCTTTGTGAGACAGGCCTCGTCTCTCCCTCCATAATCTCTTACTGCCATAATTTACGTTGGCCGTGCTCTGAGCCTCCATTCTTTCTGTAACCACAAGATGGTAGAAAAGTGTCAACCATCTGGCGATTTCTTTCAGTTTTTATTTTTATTTTATTTTATTTTATTTTTGAGATGGAGTTTTGCTCTTGTTGCCCAGGCTGGAGTGCAATAGCGAGATCTTGGCTCACTGCAACCTCCGCCTCCTGGGTTCAAGCAATTCTCCTGCCTCAGCCTCCTGAGTAGCTGGGATTACAGGCACCCACCACCACACCCAGCTAATTTTTGTGTTTTCAGTAGAGACGGCATTTCACCATGTTGGCTAGTCTGGTCCGGAACTCCTGACCTCAGGTGATCCACCTGCCTTGGCCTCCCAAAGTGCTGGGATTACAAGAGTAAGCCGCCACGCCTGGCCTGAGTTTTTATATTTTGTATGACTCCGAAGCTCATATGTACGTTTATAAAATTTGTAATCCTTTTTTTTTTTTTGAGACAGAATCTCACTGTGTCACCCAGGCTGGAGTGCAGTGGCAAGATCTCGGCTTACTGGAACTTCCGCCTCCTGGGTTCAAGCGATTCTCCCACCTCAGCCTCTGGAGTAGCTGGGGTTACAGGTGTGCACTGCCAGGCCCAGCTAATTTTTGTATTTTTAGTAGAGACAGGGTTTCACCATGTTGGCCAGGGTGGTCTTGAACTCCTGACCTCAAGTGATCCGCCGCCTTGGCCTCCCAAAGTATTGGGATTATAGGCGTGAGCCACCACACTCGGCCAGTAAGCCTTTTTTCTTTTCTGTTAACCTATTTGTTTTATAAACTAAAATGATCAAACCTTCTGGGAAAACATCTAAACTTCCCTACAATCGTTACCATGAAATCCTTTCCATTCTAGATCAATCTACCCATATAAAGACTGGAGAAACTGATGAAAATGTGAGTTATTCCTGCCTACTCTCAATTTGGGAGGAGAATACGCTGGTTTCCTTTCCCTGGAGATATATGATATTTGGGGGAAATGGAAGATGGGGGCTGAGAATATACAAATATGGATACTAGACAACCTGGAGTGTCTAAACATTTTTTTTTCTATGTAATATACTGCCTTTGGATTCTATAAACTCTAGAAATATCTGAGGAATCACAGGATTATTTTGAGAAACTTTTATTCCCGTAAGTGGCCCAAGTATCGCTCTTGTTCTAAATTTTAGTTGGAAAAATACGGTCACTGAAAGCATAGACTAACCTAAGCAGACTCTCTGCTAGTTTATTTTTAACTAAAGCTGTATGCCAGGCACTGTTTTGAGAACTTTACCCTCGGAAGCATGCATGATTATTTTTAGCGCTCTTCTACAGAGGAGAGCACCCAAATGCACACAGGCATCAAGATGCAGCCAGGACTCACACCCAGACAACCTCATCCTCAGAGTTCTGCACCTCCCCACTGCCCTACGCATGGCTGTCTTTTGTTGAGCTTTAAATTTTGTATCTGATGTTTTTTAACACCAGATTTTCTATTGATTTTTCCCAAGTAATAATGAACAAAACACTCATATTGAACTTACTAATCCCTAGAACTATGCAATGGTAAGAACAAAAAAACCTTTTCTCTGTGCAAAAACTGGAATAATTAACCAGAAACTTTGGTACATATGATATTGGAAATCACCCAACTTCGTACTTCCCCCCTTTGCTTTTTTTTTTTTTTTTTTTTTTTTGAGACAGAGTCTCACGCTGTGGCTTAGGCAGTGGTGTGACATCGGGTCACTGCAACCTCCACCTCCCGCGTTCAAGCAATTCTCGTACCTCAGCCTCCCGAGTAGCTGGGATTACAGGCATTTGCCATCAGGCCCAGCTAATTTTTGTATTGTTAGTAGAGACGGTGTTTCACCATGTTGGCCAGTCTGGTCTCGAACTCCTGACCTCAGGAGATCCACCTGCCTTGGCCTCCCAAAGTGCTGGGATTACAGGTGTGAGCCACTGCGCCTGCCTCCCCCCAACCCCCATTGCTTTATTCACTGATGAAGCAGGCAAACTTATAAACAGATCCTATGCTCTTTTTTCAACTTCTTTTGGGTTCTTCATTGTAACTGTGATTCTTTTTTATTACATTGATACATACGACATTTTCTAAAATACACCTTTGAAGTCCAGAAATTCAATACTAATAAAGCTAACCTATTGAACAGCACTTTGCAAGTCACTTTGTTGGATACTTTGTGGAATTAAGATGCATGAGACATGGATACTACTTTCAAGGGGTCTAGACCACAGGGTTCTGAAAAGTGTTCTCCTTGGACCAGCAGGATCTGCATCAGCTGAGAGCATGCTAGAAATTCTTTGGTCCCAGAGACTCTGGGAGTAGGGCTCAGCAAAGTCTTTACAAGCTCCTTGGGTGATTTTGATGCGCACTAAACTTTGAGAATCACTGATCTAGCAGTGTAAGAAATATAAACAAAAGACTCTAAAACAAAGTTAAAATCAAGTTTAAACAAAATTCAGTGGAATTTCCAAGAGGGAGAGTTGAGTTGAGGTGGAGGGAAATCTTGAAAAGGCTTCCTGGATTTGGTGCTGGGGCTGGCTCCTTACGGAAGGGTGAGATCGGATGGCACACATTGGAAAGGGGCAGGAGGTTCATCTCAGGAGGATAACAGAGAACATGGAGGTGGACACAGTTAAGTATGGCCCGTGAGGGGGCCTTAGAATCCTCCATGTGGGTGGAGCAGAAAGTGTGAAACAGTCAGTAGAGGCTCAGTCATGGAAATCTTTGAATATCATTTTTACTATTTTAATAATGAAAGAAAAAAGAGAACACTTAAAGACAGTATGGCATTTCTATAATGGAGGAAAATAGTGGGAATATAAGTACACAGTTAGAATAATGGGAAATGTTCTTATATTTGTTAGGACTTCAAGGAAACCTGGAAAACACTGATACTTTAAAAAAATATTTATTCTGTATATTAAAAAAATACTAAAGTACTCATTACTTTTTGAAGACACTACTATGGAAATTTCATTCACAATATGGATAACATTTTTGCCTTATAAAGAAGTATGGTAGTGACACTCTATTATTGTAATAAAGCCATAATCCTAATTCCTGGCCTTTGCTAGATAATTTCCTGATTCAACTTTAGAAATGGCTTCACAGAGCATTTTGAGAGAAGTTGTAATATGAGTAAGTATAAGGTAGAAAATAATATTGCTATTAAAATGAAAGCCTGATATTGAAATATAAAAATGAACTTGCACTATAATAACTAGAGAAATATTTTAAATATCCAAAAATAAGTATATTTTTAGGTTTACTATTCAAAGAAAGACTGCAGAAAGTCAAAGGAATTTTATCTGATGCCTCTGCAAATGGAGAAGACAGTGTAAAATGGAAGAGATTTTAAAGGGCTTTAAATTTGGTTGAAATGGAGTAACAATCTCCTGCTTGAAACAACCAAAATAAATACATGAAAGAACAACATTGCATGGACATCAGGCACCAAAGACAGTGATATCTAAGAAGCATGAGAAACGTGCAGTTGAGGAAGGAGGCTGGCAGGATTTGCTTTCCAGTCACAACCCTGCTGACCAAGCCAGGATCTGGTCAAAACAGGACGCAGTGAAGAAACTGGCAAAAACCAGCAGGTGGCTCAAAGGCAGCTTCTAGTTGCTCCCAATGCTCATTAGCATAAGATACTCTCATCAGCACCAAGACAGTTTACAAATGTCATGGCAATGACCAGAAGTTACCACCTCTTTCTGTGGCAATGACCAGGAAGTTGCCCCCTCTTTTCTAGAATGTTCTGAATGACCTGCCCCTTAATTTGCATTAATTCACCCCTTAATTTTGCATGTAATTAAAAGTGGGTAAAAGTAGGTAGAAACACAGGTAACCAACAGCCCACAAGAAATGCTTTGGGGCACTGCCTATGAGTTAGCCCTGCTCCGTGAGGACAGTTCTGGTTCAATAAAAGATTGCTGTCTAATACCCCTGGCTCACCCTTGAATTCCTTCCTGGGTAAAGCTAAGAACTTTCCTGGGCTAAGACTCCAATTTGGGGGCTCAGCTGCCCTGCGTCAAAGTGAACCCTAAGATTGCCCACCTTATGGCTCTGAGAAAGCTTTCAGGCCATGGCGCAGGGAGGGGCAACCAGGCGGAACATGGTGGTCTTTCTGAGTTGAGACAGAGCTGGGAATTGGGGAAGCCAAGAGAGCAAGAGTTCTGAAGAGAAGAGAGCGGCACAGAGGAAGAACCCTGGACACCTGCAGAGAGTTCCCATGGGATCTTGAGCAGAGCACTGATCAGTACATATGTGTGAAGAAACGCTTTGAGGATGGGGGAAGAATGATCCAAAAGGTTGAAGAGAACAGTGCTTCAAAGAACACACAAGGCCAAAAATAGCACCTGTTCCGAAAAACCGGAATGGAAAACCTTGTCATTCAGAGAGCATCAGTTAATGTACTAAGAACCACCTTGCCACTGTAGTGGAGAAAAATGAATCCTAGAATAAATTCAGATCTGCTTCTAATGGACAAATTTTAAAAGCAAGCCGAGAAATGATCAAACTCTTTCAAAGTACCTTAACGACATCTCAGAACAGAGCCCAGAAATATTTATAGGAGTACCAAAATAGTCAACAACCAATGAAATAAATCATCAATATCTACCATTCAAAGAAAAATTGCCAGACATTCCTAGAAGCAAGAAAACACAGCCCATAATGAGAAGAAAAATCAGTGAATCAAAACCAGCTCCAAAATGACACAGATGATAGAATAGGCAAGGACTTTTAAAACAGTTATTCTGATCAAATTTCATATGTTTAAGAAGATAGAGAAAAGATTAAAAATGCTACGTAGTGACATAGAAGATCCAAATCAAACTTCTAGAGATGAAAACTTCAAAAACTGAGTTGAAAAACATATTAGATGAGAATTACAGCAGATCAGAAATTTTAGAAGAAAGTATCAGTGACCTAAAAGACAGCATTAGATGCTATCTAAAATGAAATACCAAGATAAAAAAAGATGTAAAAAAAATTAACAGAGCGATCTCTTGGAAAGATGGGGCAGCTTGGGGGCTTCTCCACTGAAACACTTTGTGCTGGATAAGAAGGCAATTACTGAAATCTTTGACCAGTTACTGGAGTTTGTTACTGAGGATCACATATTGTTGAAGTATGTGAATCTCCCTTCTCAGCTCAAGATCTGAAGATCCAATCAGGGTGGAATAATAATAGCAACATATAAGAATCTAGAACTTGACTGAGCTACTGAGGATAATCAAGTAGAAATGTAAGAATATAAAAACAAGCTTTCTATCATTGGTAAGGTGCTATCTCGGAGACAAATGAAGGTGGCATTTTTTGGCAGGACAAGCTCTGTTATCAATGCAATGTTGTGGGATAAAGCTCTCCTTAGTGGGATTGATCATACAACCAATTGCTTCCAAAGTGTTTAAGAGACCAATGGAGATAAAACCTATCTTATGACAAAAGGATAAGATGAAAAAACAGTGTAAACACAGTTCATCAGCTGTCCTATGCCCTTCATGTGGACAAAGGCTTGGAAGCTGGCTGTCTTATACATGTGTTTTGGCCAAAGACAAAGTGTGTCCTCTTGAAAGGTGAGCTGGTTTTAGTAGACAGTCCAGGCACAGATGTCACTACAGAGCTGGATACCTGGATTGATGAGTGTTGCTTAGATGCTTATGTCATCATTTTGTTTGTAAACTCTGAATCAACACTAATGAACACAGAAAAACATTTTTTTCACAAGGTAAATGAGCAGCTTTCCAAGCCTAATAATTTAATTCTGAATAATCACTGGGATGTCGCTTCATCAGAGCCAGAATATATGGAAGATGTATGTAGACAGCACATGGAAAGATGCTTGCATTTCTTTGTGGAGGAGGTTAAAGTTGTGGATCCTTTAGAAGCACAGAATCATATATTCTTCATTTCAGCAAAGGAAGTTCTTAGTGCTAGACAGCACAAACCACAGGGGATGCCAGAAAGCAGTGAAGTACTTGGTAAACGATTTCAGGCAAGATTACAGGAGTTTCAGAATTTTAACAAATCTTTAAGGAGTGTATCTCACAATCAGCAGTGAAAACAGGGTTGAAACAGCACACTATCGGAGCTAAGCCAATACTAGATATTGTGAAAAACACAATGGATTCAATAAACGTGGCAGCAACAGAGAAGAGTTTATTCAAAGAAAGAGCGGGAAGAACAAATCGACAGACTGAGCTTTATCCCAAACCAGATGAACCTTTTAACACTAGATGTTAAGAAAAAAATCAGGAAGGCCGGGCGCAGTGGCTCACGCCTGTAATCCCAGCACTTTGGGAGGCTGAGGCAGGTGGATCACGAGGTCAGGAGTTCAAGACCAGCCTGGCCAACATGGTGAAACCCCGTCTCTACTAAAAAGACAAAAATTACTCTGGCGTGGTGGCGGGTGCCTGTAATCCCAGCTACTTGGGAGGCTGAGGCAGGTAATTGCTTGAACCTGGGAAGGGAAGGTTGCAGTGAGCCAAGATCGCACCACTGCACTCCAGCCTGGGCAACAGAGTGAGACTCCATCTCAAGAAAAATAAAAAATAAAAAATAAAAAAATCAGGGAGGTTACCAAGGAAGTGGCAAACAAGGTTTCACGTGCAAAGACAGATGAAATTTGTTGACTGTCTGTTTTGGTTGATGAATTTTATTCAGTTTCATCCTACTCCACGTGTATTGAAAGTATGTAAAGGTGACTTAAATTAGCACTTAGAAGACGGTATCAGAAGAAATATGGCTGATTGATGCACCAATTAAGACAATGCCTCAATGTTTAATCCAAGCAAGAAATTATTAAAAATTTGAAACCATTACTTTCAGCTATATATAGAATAAACTGCATACACTAATCCCTTGCAAGAAATTTGATCTCAGTCATGACCTATATTGCCACAAGTTATGACCAGATTTTCAAGAGGGTATTGTATTCCATTTTTCCCTGGGCTGGTCTTCACTTGTGCATTGATTCCTGGGCCCTACAAATGCTCAGAGGGTGCTCCTAGGATTGTCAGAGCCTAACTTTCCCTAGCTCTTTAGCCTGTACTCCCACTGCTTCTATCAACCCAGCAACACCAGATAATGCATCACACAAAGAACTCATGGTTACCTTAATAACAGGATTAGCTTCTCTTACATCTAGGACTTCTACGGACATCACTGTTGGAGGAGTAATTTGGAAAACTATAGGCTGGCAATTCGTATATGTTTCATTATGTATGTATGGAGTTTGGTATCTTTATGGAAGGCTGTCCTGGACCACTTGTGCCAAGGAAAGAGGCTTTAAACAACAGTTTGTGAACTATGCTTCTGAAAAACTTCAGATAATTGCTAGCTTCAGGAATGCAAACTGCAGCCATGAAGTACAACAAGAAATGGCTATCACTTTCGCTTGCCAGTGCCAACAAGTTGTTACTAAAAGACATCTGGAAGAAATTACTAGATTATCCAAAGAAATAGATCAGTTAGAGAACATACAAAACAATTCAAAACTCTTTTTTTTCATATTCATAGCTTTAATAGTGTGTTCTACTCGACATTTCTACTCTTATAACTATTACAATTAATAGCTTCCAACAGTTTCCCCTCACCTCCCCTCCCTCCCTCCCCTCCCCTCCTCTCCCCTCCCCTCCCCTCCCCTTCCCTTCCCTTCCCTCCCCTTTCCTTCTTTCAGAGTCTCACTCTGTCATGCAGGCTGGAGTGCAGTGGCGTGATCTTGGCTCACTGCAACCTCCACCTCCCGGGTTCAAGCAATTCTCCTGGTATCCAGGTGGCAGAGGGGAAATAGAGTCTGGAGAGGGAGGCTGGGCGCAGTGGCTCACGCCTGTAATGCCAGCACTTTGGGAGGCCGAGGTGGGTGGATAACCTGAGGTCAGGAGTTCGAGACCAGCCTGGCCAACGTGGTGAAACCCTGCCTCTACTAAAAATACAAAAAATTAGTCAGGCATGGTGGTGGGTTCCTATAATCCCAGCTACTCAGGAGACTGAGGCAGGAGAACCGCTTGAACCTAGGAAGTGGAGGTTGCAGTGAACCGAGCTCATGCCATTGCACTTCAGCCTGGGCGACAAGAGCAAAACTCCATCTCAAAAAAAACAAAAACAAAAACAAAAACAAAAACATAATAAATAAAAATAAAGAAAACACAACTTAGTTAGCTTACCATCCTGTGGGTCAGCAATTTAGGATAGGCTCTGCTGTGCACTTTGGCTGGTGTCAGCCAGCCTCGGCTCATTCATCTATGTGTAGCCAGCTGCTGGTCCAGGGTTCCTAGTTGTTTTTATGCAGACTTTTATCTTTCCCATCATGTTCTGGTCCACACCTTATGTCTGCCTTCAAGGTACCCATGACTTCAATCCCTGAGCATTTCCAAGTACTGTAGGATGAATCAGTCCTTGGTAGGCATCTAGTTTTCATTCTACACATTCTGCTAAGGCAGCTCCCAGTCCTCAAATGTTCATGTGCAATGAACAGGTATCTCTTAGCTTCATTTAAACAGTCTGTGTTTCTGTCTCCTTCTCCTTCTTTTCTCTCCCATTCTGCTAGCTCATCATTAATTATCAAGGGGATATGGGTGCAGAAACACCTTTACTCTGCCATACACAAAAGTCTGAAATAAAACTTCTTAAATAAATGATGACCCTTTTTTAATGTCAAAGAAAGGAATGATGAGTCTAAACCCAGCTCTCTGAGTGGCAGCCAGGCGGGGAGATGTTTCCCCAGTTACTAAATTAGAACGTAACCCACAAGAATAGACTGTGACGATGGCAGCAGGAGTTTGAAGCCTCTGTCAGAATATTCTGGATGTTCTTATGGCACATGGACTCATAAATTCAAAGGTCTTTCTTATTTTTTACTAAAGGCTATGTCTTTGTCTTTGGGGCTTCTGTCAGACTCCAGTTAGCGCACTAAAGGCTGGAAGGCTGGCTGTTTTGGGGTGCGAGATAATGATGGTTGAGCTCCTAATAATTATCCGCATTGGCTGCCTTTTGTTCTGGAAAGTATTTACTACTGCTTTATGGTGGCTTTTGAAAATGATTTTCAAAACATCCCAATTATGTCATTTATTTACTTTTCTGAGAGATTATTTTGAGGTTTGAGAAAAAATTAAATTTCTGGCATTAGAACTGTAATAAAGCCATTTTTGGGGTCTGACTGCTCATTGCTTTCAAGCCTGGCCCCTCTCTCTTCCTCTCTGCCCACCACTGGACAGGCTGGTGCTCCCTCCTTCAGCACCAGTGGGAGATTCACACCACACCAGACCCTGCCCTCACGGAGGAACCTACACCTCGGGCCCAGCCACTGACCTCCATCAAAACCCAGCCAGTATCCTTTCCTTGTTCTCTCACATCATTTTCTTTGTGCATTTTTCTACTCCTTCCCTCTCTTTTTTAGCAAATTTGCAGAAATTCTCTGTATTTTTGACGTTAAGTTTTCACATGTTATGAATGATGCAAATATTTTCTCCAAGACTGTCACTTATGTTTTAGTTTTGCTCATTTCTTTTTTGCAGTACCAACATTTTGACTTTTATAATGTCACATTTGACAATCTTTTATTTTGGATTTTGTAACATTCTTAGAAAGTACTCCCTCCTTGCCCAAATTATGAAGGTTATGTTTTCCTTCTAGAATTCCTATTAGATGGCCACTGGAATTTCTGGATCTATCTCCCCTGTCTCTTATATTTGTTTGTATTGCATTCTGGGATAATTTCTTAATCTTTTAGTTTACAAATTTTATCTTCAGCTGTGTCCACTTTGCTATTGTACATCTACTGGCCTCATTTACTGGCCTTATCTACTGGCCTATTTTCATTTTGGCAATCATTGTAATTTTTGAGGTGGAAGAATAGGGAGTTGGGGTAACCAAGGGTTAAGGCGTAAGCAAAAGGACAGCAGATGCAGTTCTAGGCAAGGTTAAGCAGCCTACAGGCCAGACCCTCACTCCTGTGATAACCAGACAGAAGTCTCCACTTCAGCCTCTGATTGGCTACAGGCCAACTCTTCACTTCAGCCTCTTATTGGTCACAGGCGAGGTCTCCACTTCAGCCTTTGATTGGCTGTGGGCCAATCCTTCAAAGTGTGTAATCAATTAGAGGCCTCTAAAGGGCACCTAGGGGGTGTTACCAAATTCTTTTAGCTTAATAGAAACCCTAAAGAACATTGTAATCTGGGCTCTTGAGCCACTTGCTCCAGCCTGCTCCCACTCTCTGGAGCATAGTTTCACTTCAGTAAGTCTGCACTTTCATTGCTTCTTTCTTCTTTTGCTGTTTTGTGTGTTTTGTTTAATTCTTTGTTCAACTTGCCAAGAAGCTGGACAACTCACAGTTAACACTTTCCATCTGTGGCCAGGTGCGGTGGCTCACGCCTGTAATCCCAGCACTTTGGGAAGCTGAGGTGGGTGGATCACCTGAGGTCAGGAGTTCAAGACCAGCCTGGCCAACATGGTGAAACCTTGTCTCTACTGAAAATACAAAAATTAGCTGGGCATGATGGTGTGTTCCTGTAATCCCAGCTACTCAGGAGGCTGAGGCAGGAGAATTGCTTGAACCTGGGAGGCGGAGGTTGCAGTGAGCCAAGATCATGCCACTGCACTCCAGTCTGGGCTACAGAGTGAGACTTCATCTAAAACATTAAAAAAAAAAAAGACTTTCCATTCATTAACATTTTCAATAAGTTAATTTTTTTCATAACACTTAAAAAATGCAGTATCTACTTAAACGATTCTCAGGATATTCATTATACTTATGATGAAAATCCTTTCCTCTTTGCCTTACTAGTTTTGTTTTCTTTGGGGCTACTTCTGTTTCCTCAAATGATTGATTCCAGGTTTTCTGTTCCTGTGTGTAGTTGAGGGTCTGTATTAAACATTGGGTTTCCTCAGCCCAAGGGGAAAGTCCTGGTGGTCCGATGCCAATTGTCATGGAAGAAACCCTACACTGGTGAACCTGGGAGTGGAAGACTGTGTGGTCCTCTGGCATGGGAGCAGGGGTTGCCTTCTGAGTTTGATTTCCCACTCCTCTCCTTATCCAGGGGGCTTGGACCCGGGCTTGGGGTCTGCTCTAAAAGTAGGGAGTTCTTGGGCTTATATTTTGATTCTCCTTCCCCACCCAGGAATGTTTTGTTTTCTCTTCAGAGCGTCCATCACTTGGGTCCAAAGCTGTCGCTCCAGCAGCTCCACATACAGGGTGTCAGAAAGGCATGGTGGCCCACTGACCCTGAATGCTGCTCTGCAGCCTCCTGGGCAATCTGCCTGAGCCCCATTCTGGGCTTTGTGTTTATTGGCTCTCAGCCTGGAATTTTCCAAGGACATTGTTAACAGCCCTGACTACCACATCATCTGGATACTTCAATTTTTCTTCCGTCACTCAAAACCCATCTTCTTCCCCTAATTTTTATTTTTATGAAAGTTATTATATACATGTATCAGGAGATATTCTAAGAATGCTTATAGAAAAATACAGCATTTTCTTACACCCTGTGCCCTACACCCCACCCCAGCTTTTCCCCAACCCAGAATGCTTTTTCTTGGGGGGAATTTACCTGCTGTATCTGCAAACAACATGCTTATGTTGTCCCATCTTGAAATTTTGGACTTGCAGACCCTCTATTGGCTCCCCAGCCCCACCACAGAATTCCATGCTTCCCACTCCCCTCCCTGTGCTGTCAAGACGGTCGCATCCTGGTGTTGGTAGAACAGTGCTCACTACTCACATTATGACAGTGATAGACATATCTGCTGTCACTGAGATTTTTGCAAAAGCCTATGTTGGCTTTTCCTTTTCTACCCCAACTTTTTGTTTTCCCTAGAGATAGTGTTCATTTTATTGTTTTTTTTTTTTTTTTTTTTTCGTTGAGACGGAGTTTCACTCTTATTGCCCAGGCTGGAGTGCAGTGGCGCCATCTTGGCTCACCACAACCTCTGCCTCCCGGGTTCAATCAATTCTCCTGCCTCAGCCTCCTGAGTAGCTGGGATTACAAACATGTGCCACCACAGCCAGCTAATTTTGTACTTTTAGTAGAGACGGGATTTTACCGTGTTGGTCAGGCTGGTCTCGAACTCCAGACCTCAGGTGATCCACCCACCTTGGCCTCCCAAAGTGCTGGGATTATAGGCATGAGCCACCATGCCCAGCCTATTGTTTATTAACTTGGTTTTAAAAATATATATAATCGTCGTTAATCCAAGCACAATTTTCCACCAGTTATCTAAGTCTCTTCTCAGTATAATCAGGTTCATCAGGTATTTTATCACTTTCCTCTTTCTGAAGATGCCTTTCCCACCCACTTCAATCCTTCCTGGGTTGAATCTTCTGTATTCTATATCGCAAAATTTCTTCTTTTTGGCTGAATTCTCTTTTTGGGCAAAAGGACATCCTCTAGTGGCTTCATGAGATACTCTCATTATTTGCAGTTCCAAACTTCCAAATTTGCCTGCTCGCTGAAATTTATTTGTAACCCCCAAATCAATCATTGTCACGCCTCCTCAGTCATTCACAAGCATGCCCCGAGCAGTGAAAAATGTGTTTCTCCAGGCACAGTTCTTAGCTGAGGTCAAACAAGGCAATGCGCTGCCTCTTGTTTCAGCTGTCATACTGTTACCTTGTCGTTATCACTGTCTATTTAGTGTCACATTTTTGGCATTTTTGTGCTTTTTGTCAGTGTTTTTTTTTTTAAAGAAAAATTTCATTTTAATCCAGCCTGACCCCCACACGTGTGTT
Organism: Homo sapiens; assembly: GCF_000001405.40. Taxonomy (NCBI): domain Eukaryota; kingdom Metazoa; phylum Chordata; class Mammalia; order Primates; family Hominidae; genus Homo; species Homo sapiens. The sequence goes on along the minus strand of NW_003315931.1, from coordinate 3,465 downwards.
TCACACAGACCTTATTTTTTAAACAGACTTTATTGTATTTAATACAATATAAAATTTGAAAAATTGCAGGAAAGCAGCAGACTTGAACTGGAGCAATTCTAACAAGGAATAATAAAGTTCACATCTGTGAGGTGGACAAAAAGGTGTGACTTCTGTACAAACTACATTTAGCATTTCATGTCTAACATCTTTCAAATGCAATGTGCTCATGAGGGTTTTTCTGAAGTCCTGCCTGGTCCCTGCCTAAAGAGAGACGTAGAACCTCCATATACAAAGAAACTTGATTCAAGGTGCTTTTTTTTTTTTTTTTTTTTTTTTTTTTGAGACAGAGTTTCGCTCTCCTTGCCCCGACTGGAGTGCAATGGCACAATCTCAGCCCACCACAACCTCCGCCTCCAGGGTTCAAGCAATTCTCCTGCCTCAGCCTCCCGAGTAGCTGGAATTACAGGCATGTGCCACAACACCTGGCTAATTTTGTATTTGTTTTAGTAGAGACGGGGTTTCTCCATTTTGGTCAGGCTGGTCTCGAACTCCCGACCTCAGGTGATCCGCCTGCCTCGGCCTCTTAGAGTGCTGGGATTACAGGCGTGAGCCACCACGCCTGGGCTTGTTTTTTTTTGTTTTGTTTTGTTTTTTAAAAAAGGAAAAAGAAAGACAAAGGAAAAAGAAAGAATGGATGGCTGTTGGCAATGGAAACTGTGAGGAAACTGTCCTCACCATTCACGGCTTGTTTATTGGTCAGAGGCCTCGGGGGGCCCAGGATATTTCATGGCTATCACAGCACCAACTGCGGCTGTCACCTTTTTTTTTTTTTCTTTTTTGCATTTCCTACCTTTTGACATATATATATATATATATATTTTTTTTTTTCACCTTGAGGATATCACTATTCCAATTGTTCCCATATGAATACAGGTGTGGTCTCTATTGCATATAAATGCATCTTTTATTCAATTTTAGGTGCAGGACTTGGTTTTCTGTCCCAACTGCACACAAATGTCCCTTTTTTATTATTTGTTTATTAGTTGTGTGTGTTTTCCTTTTTGCATAAGAAATATGTCCGTTTAGTCCAGAGGCTCTTGCTTTATCCAGATGATGGAGGGTACGGGAAGGCATCCGCCTCAGTTCCCTATGAAGGACGTATTTGCTGAACTAGGACAAGCCCACTCCTCCCCTACAGGAGCCCACGATTTCAAATCCTCTTTGCTGCAACCTCTCGAGGACCTGGACTGAGTTGAGGTGACAGTAGCCACTTAGTGGAAACCTGACGATGTGCGTGGAGTCGTGATTCCAGCCTGCACTGATAAAGTTGCACATCACATCGCCGATCTCTGGAAACACTTCTTCTACCAAGGATTTGTCACCACTTAGCGTGATCCTTTCTCTGAGGTCTGGGGCCACACAAACAACAAGGCACTCACAGGGCCTTGAAAAGCGACCAGTTTCTCTGTCCTGCTTCCATCTTTCCATCTCCAACAACATGGGCTGAAGCTGAAAATATTTTGCCTCTTCATATAACAAAGTGTAGTCCTTGAAATCATCAAGAATGAGGAGTTTGGATGTTCGTAGAAAATTCAAGATATATCTGAACATCTGTCCATCTCTGTCAGTGAAATAGTGCTGTTTGAGACTGTCCAAAACTATGGGCTCTGTACCATCACAAAGTCTTCTGATTCTGGATACAGGGTATTTGGTGAGGGTGGCCAGGCTGCTGGTGTACATGTGGCTGCCCACATCAGTGTGGACATGCGCATTGGATTTTGTGAGTTGTGCCGGAGTAGGGGTGCCTTGGTTGTTCAGTGGAGATGCAGGGGATCTAGTGATCAGAGGTCTTAACATATGAGGCCGACTGTCCCTCTGGCGGAGAATTGCGCGGGCCCCGGGCGGGAGAGAAGGAGGGCCAGCGGGAGGGCGGGACGGTCTCGCTTCTCTAGGCAATGCCCGAGGAGTAGTGCCCCTTCCACTGCCCCCTCATTGCCCCCTGGAGCCAGGGGTTCGGGGCAGCAGGTGCGCCGGGCGTGCCGTGGTGCTGCCATGGGAAACCCGTGTCTGGGGCCGCCCTGAGCGGAGCGGAGCCTATCAGTGATTTAATTGTTTAAAATGGCCCCCAAGTGTACTGCTGAAGTGCTGTCTAATGTTCCTAAGTGCAGAAAGGCTGTGATGTGCTTTACAGAGAAAATATACCTGTTAGACAAGCTTGGCTCAGGCATGAGTTACAGTGCTGTTGACAGTAAGTTCAACAGCAATGAGTCAACAATATGTTACATCCAGAAGGAGGAAGAGGAAAGTCATTGACGCAGATGTGAGGCCACTCTGAAAAGTGCCCAAGTAACATCTATAGTACCTGGTAAAGTTATGGAAAAACAAGAAGAAGAAAAAAAACCAGTGAAATTTGTGGATTCATGAGATGACATTAAAAGTTTGGTGGACTGGCCAGGCGCGGTGGCTCGCCTGTAATCCCAGCACTTTGGGAGGCTGAGGCAGGCGGATCACGACGTCAGGAGTTCGCGACCAGCCTGACCAACATGGTGAAACCTCATCTCTACTAAAAATACAAAAATTAGCCGGGCGTGTTGGTGCGCGTAATCCCAGCTACTCAAGAGGCTGAGGCAGGAGAATCTCTTGAACCCGGGAGGTGGAGGTTGCAGTGAGCCAAGATTGCACCACTGCACCCCAGCCTGAGCGACAGAGCGAGACTCCATCTAAAAAAAAAAAAGTTTAGTGGACAGCATTGTTGTGAGGCTGACAGCCAAATAAATTTTTAGTCACATTACCCAAGGTCAGGAAAACGCAAAACTCTTCCCAGCTTGAGTTTTATTATAAAGAATAATACATACAGTTAACTATTGGTAAGAAACGTATATTAAACAAGGTGTCTGTAGATAAAAACACATAAAACAAAAATATGTATTGGTTGGATGACAAAAATGTAGTGATCAGAGGCGTGGAAGCTAACCCTGTATTTCTCCAGGAGCAGTGGTTCAGTATGGGCTAATAGTGTTCACAGTGTCTTTAGAGAACATACTCCAGCACTCACCAAGGCCATGCTTCTTGCATCACAGCTATGCTTCCTGCACCCACCAAGGCCATGCCTCCTGTGTTATAGCCATGCCTCCTGTACCCACCAAGGCCATGCCTCCTGTATTCACCACTGCTATACACCCCATTCAATAGCCACACTACACTTCCTACACCACAGCCTTGCCCCCTGCACCCACCACAGCTGTGACTATCCAATAGCCACACCTCCCCTACCACAGCCACACCCCCAGCACCCACCACAGCCACACTCAGCACCCTCCACAGTCACACCCCCTCCACAGCCACACTCCGTCCATAACCACACCCGCTCCACAGCCACGCTTCCTGCACCCACCACAGCCACACCCCAGCACTCTCCATAGCCATACTTCCTGCACTTTCCACGGCCACGCCTCTTGCTCTGGCCTTCACAGGCTGCAGTAA
>NW_003315929.1:0-71551 GCF_000001405.40 Homo sapiens | reverse complement strand
GAATTCTTAAGCATCTCTGTGGCTCACCTGAGGATTCCTTTCATCTCCCAAGATTTCAGAAGCACACAACAATGTTTGGCTATAGGCTGGGGAGTGTTTTCCGGGTCTGTATCAGTCCCATCCCTGTGCTTGCTTGTTTTATTTGCCCATCCATTCAGAAGATGTTTATGGAGCACCTTCTGTGTACACTGACCTGGGAGCTTCCTATACACGTCTAGCAGGGCCTGCCTGCACAGGGAGCTGGGGTCCCATCAGCCCAGGCAATACCACACCCAACCAGGCCATTCTCCCTGAGCCTATTTTTCTAAGCCTTATTTTCCGATACACCGTTTGACAAAGGATTTTTGAACTGTTCTAAGAGCATCCAGGGTAGTGTTTGGATGTTAAAATGCTGAAATGTCTCTGAATTTTCAATAGCCTGTAGACTAAATCAGACAAAATATTTGAAATCTGAATTGACTAGGAAAATACAGGTGGTATGGTTTCTAGCCATCAAAATCAGGCCCAGCTACCTCTTTAAAAATGTGTGTTTTAATTTTTACTTTTTCATTTGGGGCAGGCAATTTTATAAGACATTCGGTACCCTAAATATTTGGCTTCATCAGTAAGAAAAAAATGTTTTAAACATGTTTGTGTAATATCCTTAGCTCAATTCATTTAGGATTTTTTAATTTCAACCTTTTCTGTATTTTCTTTCAACATTTGGCCTAAGGGGAAAAACGGCCCATAGCTATGAAAGCTCCTTTGAAAGCATGGCAGGACTTGAAAAAGAAAGCTTGAAAACCACAAGTGTTTTATGTACAGTTGGCAGCTCCTTTTTAAGAGGTTTTCTCCCCACTGCAGTGTCTGTTCGATTGTGTTCTGCTTTGCTTCTCTCTCCCGGCCCCTTTCCCCCAGCCAAGTGTCTGCCGAGTCTCTCAAGTTCTCACTGTGTTTCCTCTTGCTGTGTTCTAGTCTCCGTCTCCTGGCAGCTCCTCCCCCTTGGGTGCAGAGTCATCAAGCACATCTCTTCACCCCAGTGACCCTGTGGAAGCGTCCACTAATAAAGAGGTAGGGTGCTGTTTTGTTACCAAAGCCATTGGGCCATTTTGCTTTACTCTAATACTGTTCTGTGCTTCCTAATACAGCATCCTACAGCGCTCCTGACCCACATTACCCTGGTGAGAACAATCCTGATTTCTCCTCTCCAGTGTGCAGTTCACCTGTTAAAGCCATGTCATCCAGTTTGATAGCCACTGGCTGCAGGTGCCTAATTAATGAATAAAATGAAAAGTTTATTTCCTCAAGCACAGTAGCCACATTTCAAGTGCTCGGACAGGGTGGATTACAGAGCATTTGCATCACTGCAGGAAATTCTGTTGAACAGCACTTGACCTCAGACACCAAAAACTCGACGTACAGCATCTTTCCTCCTGGCGTTACATGCCTGCTGATGCCATGGGCTTGCAGTTGCTGTGTGCTTTGGGAAATGTGTTAGTTTCTTAAATACCCTTTATTTCAGGCCCAAATGAGATATCTTTCGTAAGAATAGAGTGGCCATACATTCCCAGTTTACCTAGGGTGTGGTTCCAGTTCACACCTGTTGTCCAGGCAGCCCATCTTATGAGCGCCCTTCTCTCTTGCTGGTGCAGTGCCGCCTGCGAGAACTTTCCACGGTGCTGGAAATGTTCCACTTCTGCTCTGTCCACTATGGTAGTCATTAGCCTCATGTGCCTGTCAAACCCTGGAAATGTGGCCAGTGTAACTGAGGAACTGAAGTTTTCATTTTATCCCATTTTAATTAACTTAAATAGCCACGTGTGGCTGCAGACTGCCAGACAGTGCAGCTCTAAAGTATCCCTTTTGGACAACAAATTCTGTGGTCGCCTTGCTTATGTGGAGCATTTCAGTGAGAAGATGCTGCTTTCTCCCATTGAGGTGTCTGGGTCTGAGAAAGGGCAGCCCCAGAGGGGAGACACTGCCTTCCCCCGTACCCAGGGTCCTTTTACACCTAGTGAACTGCCACCCACACCTGCTAATGAGCCAACATCAGGTAAATGTTGGTCTGCGCCATAATCTGTGTGTGGGCTCAGCTCACTCTAAATATAGCTGCTCTCTCATCAACACTGAGGAGATGTGTTAAAGAGGTAAACCACATGATGAACGATGGTTTCCTTTTCCCTCATTTTGCTGATAATTTTATGTTAAATGCAATGAAAAAGAAATCTCTGTTTAAACTGAGTGGCAGATCGCTTTTAAAGGGAGTCTTAGTTAAAATTTACCCTTAAGGCACCCTTGAATACCATATATTTGCCATTAAATATTTACACAAAGGAAAAGTATTTTTTATTAATCTGTTCATATTAAACCAAACAAACAAACATAGACCTTCTCTGAAATGACACCAACATTAGAATTTAGACTAGAAATATACTTTGGTCTCCTCTGGTCTTGAGCCTCAGACACTTGGCCATTGGGAGCACAAGTGACAAGGGCACAGTTTCTGCTGTTCCCACCGTTCCACAGTTTGCTTCATTCTTATATCACATGGTTGGGTGAGAACAAATAGTAAGAAGAAAAGAAGGACAGGTGCCCTGATGATAACAGTCATGAGCACTATCGTTTCTTGAGCATTGACAATGTTCCAGGAACTGGGCTGAGAAAAATCACAGATAGTGTCTCATTTAATTCTTAAAATAATTCTGTGAGGTAGGTATCACTGTCCTCATTTGCTGGTTGAAAAAGCTAAGAGGTTGAATAACTTACCTGAGATTGTAGAGCTCACAAGTGGTCAGCCAGGATTCAAATCCAGAACTCATGGGAACCCGTGCTCTTAACTGCCAAGATCTGCCACTGCTGGAGTAGAAAGTGTTTGCAGGTCACAGACTACATGGACAAGGTACCTTGTCTGTCATTGTTCCAGTTGTCCAATTGTGCCTCCAAGTTCTGCACGAGTCGATTTGTGTGACCCCCAAACCCAAACCCCAAAGATCTTAGCCTTTAGCTTTTTAAATGCAACTTTATTTATTTATTCTTGAAAGTTAAGGATCAACTGATGTTCATCTCAGTCCACATGTGAAATAAAGGGCTAACCAGACATCTAAATATTCAGCATTTGATTATGCATTAGATATAATAAGGCAAATTTGTTAGTTTCTCAGTTCCTACAAGACTTGGCTCATGTTTCTATATATCCTTAGAAATGATGATGAAAATCCTATTTGTGTGTAATAATTAGAGATTCTTTCATTTCACAAAACTCTTTTTAAAAAAATTTACTACCCCAGAGACTAAGAAAGCTAGTCATGAGCTCATGCATAGAGAATAAGTGAATGTACCAAATGCCCTCTGTTGCAGCTTTTTTTTTAAAGATGGTAAACTTTATTTTGCCAAATTATTTTTTTCAAACTTATCTTTTTTTTAATTTTTTTAATTATACTTCAAGTTTTAGGGTACATGTGCACAACATGCAGGTTAGTTACATACGTATACATGTGCCATGTTGGTGTAGCTCTTAATAAAACTGCAGCTTTTAGAGCTATAGACCAAAGTAATTCTTTTGTAGCTTCTGCTAAAATCTGGACACTGTCTAGCATTCAGAAAAGTATCAAAATAGAGCAAGAAAATGTGAATTGACTTCTTAGATATACCTGGAGGCTAAGCAATTCTGATTAAACAAACTCTCATTACCCCAGGCTATAGTTACTTGGGACAAGGGTAGGGAAATGGTTGGGAAATAATAACTTAAAAGTTTTAGGCCCCTATGAAGATGCTAGCTTCCATCTGCATACCATGAAGTTATGAGGGTTTTTTTCTTTTCTTTAAACCATCCTGAATTAGACAGATTTGGCTGTTGGCTCTCAACTGGGCCTATCTTCTCACTTAGGTAAGTGGAAAATAAAATTAACGTAAAGCACTGCTGAAACTGGAGTTCTCTTTCCCCCTATCCACATATCCTGGCTTTTATTTGGTGTGCATTTTCTCATAAATGCATTACTAGCCAGTAACTTTTCATTCCTGATGCACTAGAAACCCACCCACTTTGGTGTGCAGAACCATTTCATCCCAGTGAGCACACATGCAGCAGGTTTACTGAAAAGCTGCCCTGTACAATGTATTATTGTGTGATTAGTGTTGAATTGTCATTATCCTGAATTGAGCTGGAGTCTTACAACTAGGTTTCTTCAACTGCCCCAATTTTTCACAAAACAATTAAAACTACTATTTTTAGACTGTTGTCCAAGTATTAACCAAGTTATCATCCCTTTGCCATTCCCATCCTCCAAGGAAAGAGCACTGTGTCAAGTGCTAGGTTAGGGAGTTGCTCCCCATGACATCCCAACACTCACCCAGGGCGCTTTCCTCATCCAGCCTGCCAGGCACCCCAGAGTCTTCCCTCTATGCAGGTCAGCCTATCCAACAGCTATTCAGTGCCAGATATCTTTCCTCTTAAAGTCATGCATTTAAATAATCACCTAAGAACCGGGTAGGTTCTCAGCAATGGAATTCTTGGCCATGCAAACCTTACCTTCTGCCCATTTTAGGGACTTGTCTTTAACACTAGCTCTCCACTCTCCTGTGATGCTTGTATCACCCTGGTCCAGACACACTAGCTACAAATTCTACTACTGGTGGAAGCAGGGGTGAATTTTTTTCTCTTATCTCAGTCAGTGTTACATCTAGGACATCTGCTTCTGAAAGGAACGTATGGTGAGTTTTGCTCCTCTGATAGCAGGCAGTTAAGCTGCCATCTAGTCAGGCTCTAAAAGGTGTCTAGCTCATCATCTCTGCTTCCAACAGTGCTGTGAGAACGCTGACCTTTGCTCTGAGGTGCAAAAGAAATTCCAGGGTTTTTAATTTACTCCTTTGTTGTGTTCTTATTCAGATAACACACAATAATGATTTATATAATGGAGTTTTTCAACTAAAATAAATCAGTAGGAGATGAAGAGATTTTTAAAAACTCTAGCACACATTTTTAGCACAGTGAGAGATCACTGTGGCAAAGAGTAAAATAAATTTCTCTGAGAGAATTCTTAATTTCAGCTATAATCATAGCATTGGTGCTTTCACTAATCAGTTTTTCACATGGAAATGCAGATCCTTAAGAATACAAATTGTGCCCTTTTTATTGTTGTTAGAGACTTGTCTGTGGGATTGTTTTTTAGTTGGCAAATACCTCTCTGATTGTGAAATGTAAGATTTCTAGATTATCTAAAATATGAATGGACTATTCTGGGTTTTAGGTAACCTTTACTAATAAATGCATGTTTATCTGCACTTTACTTTCTCTAACTAAAAATGATCAATAATTGGTAACTGCCACTGATTATGTATTTATTTTTCATGTTGCATGGATGATTGTGTTAATTCATATTTCATTATGCTTTGCTCTTTTTGAAACCTCTTTGTCTTTATTACAGTCAAGAAAAAGCTTGGCTTCATTCCCAACCTACGTTGAAGGTAAGAGCTGAAAAGAAAATACTGAGCACTGAGTCATTCATGAATCTTTTAGCATTGGGGCATATGAAGCACTGAGATATAAGACAATGGAAGGGAAGAAAGGCCACAAAGTCACTTATTCACAATGTTAGCAGTCTTAGGATCTTAGACTCAAAGAATGATAGCTGGGAGCCTCTCAGAAATCCTCCTCACGTCTTTGCTCATTATGTGGATGAGGACTCTGAAATTGGAGTCGAAGCTGTGGGCTTTACCCAGTGTCATGCAGCTTAGCAGTGGTCACACTGGATCCAAAACCCAAGTCTCCTTATTCTGTCTCTGTGCACTTCATACATTCAAAAAGAAAAATTCAAGTGGGAATGAACATTAACTAAGGCAGAAATTTTGGTCTTTTTTAATAAGAAAAACCTTCCCAGCAATTTTCATCTATTACGTGGATGAGCTAGTAATAGTAACAGTTACTGCATGCTTACTCTGCCAGGTTCTGTTCTAAGCACCTCCCATGTAATAACTAATTGAATCCTCACTTCAATCCTGTGAAGTGAGTTTTATTATTATCCCCATGTTATAATGAGACAACTGAGGCATCAAGAGGGTAACTTGCCCAAGATCCCACAGTTGGCAGTGCAGACCCAGGCTATGAATTGGCAGGCTGGCACCATACTTCTCTCTGGAAACCGGTGTCTTTGTGGGGCTGCCACACATGGTTGTGCAGGTTACTCACTGCACAAGGGCACCTACTCTAAGGCCAGGTGGGGCCAAAGTTCCGCCAAGCTCTGCACTCCAGCTGGAGACTGTACCATCCAAATGGGGCACCAAATCAGGCATCATTTCTCATTCACAAAGAGGCACTCACTCTCTGGCTAGAGGTGATGCTGAGGGTCCACCTGGGTGCATCGCCATTTCCTTGAAGGAGGCTTTTCTGGAGGCCAGAGAACGCCCAGACATCTCTCTGAGGGTGTGTCTGGACTTTGGATCCTGTGCGTAAACAGTCATTGTGTTCCACTGCCTGGGAAAGGGTTACCAGGGCTCATAAACCTTCATGAACCCTTGGGCTCAAAGCCCAGGACAAGCTCACAGTTTTGGTTTAGTTACTTAGGTTTCTCTCTTGAATCATCGTAAATTATTTGCATCATTTTTGTGAGGCCCTGAAATTCTGTGAGAGCATTCTGGGAAGTTTTCTGAAGTTTGAAAGCTCCCGTCTTCATATTCATCCCCCAGGCCTAGGGATTTTTCAGGCTCAGCATTAGCCTGAGTATGAGGATGTCACATGTGTGCTCCCTCATCCACAGAGCAATCCGAAGGCAGCACTAAAGGGAAACCATGTTCCGAAAGGCCAAAAGAAAACCTGCAATTCTCTGACATAGGATCATTAAGGGTTTAATTTTTTTTAACTTTGTAAGAATATACTATCCCTGAGCTCAAAGTGAACTTATGAAATTGGGGCTTTTATTTTTCTGGGTGTGATGCGATGACAGTGATATTCAATTATATTCAATTTCCTGAAAGGATAAATGACATAAGACCATATCTCAAAAGGTGTTTAGGTCTGATATTTGTGTGTCTTGGATGCTTGGCATTTCTACAGTCATTTAAATATAATTTGGATTGCTTTTAAACATATCCCCATACCCACACTTACTGTAGTCAAAAAGGGACCTTCTCAGTGAATAGCGCCAAATCAGAGAATATATGATGTTAGAAGTCCCGTAGAGAAGGTAGTTAATTTTTGTTTTCTTTTAACATTGATTTTTAAAAAATAGATGGAAGACTTTTAAAAGTTCATATCCCAGATGAGATCGTTCTTCTTCATATCTGGTTGGCAATAATGATTATGTTTCCATAACACTATAAATGCATCACCAGGAACTTATCATAGAAGAACTGACAATCTTTTACTTTATATAAAGTGTAATGTGGATTCAGACCTGTTCATATATTATTTTGTATGCTTCCCTGCTATACAACTGAAACTGTATATCATATATAGCCCGAATCCATCTCACATCTATAAAAGATTCAGAGCGGGCCCCTGTGGCTGTTGAGTAGAGTGTGAATTACTGGTGTGGAGTGGAGGCAGATTTGTCTGTGTACCACTCACAGTGTTAGCTTCAAAGTCTTGCTTATAAAAATGGAGAATAAGACAAATAACAGGCTTCCTTATTTAATTACTACATAGATGCTTTGTGAAAGCCTTTCCTAAAACACTTTTAATTTCTCTGTTTCAAGCACCACCTTAGTTTTAGAAAAATGAGTAGATTATTTTACATCTTTACTCTGATAAGTAGTTCAGCACAGGAAGCAGCTGTGTAAACTCAAGATGAGCTTGATGTTTAAGGATAAAAATAAAAAGCATTTCAGATTAGCCTTCCAAGAGGAAAAAGCAAATTGTTTCCATTACAAGTTACCTAATTTAAGACCCTGAGGTTTTAACAGTGGGTTAAAATGTATATTTTAGTCTCTGCAGATGTACCAGTCAAGTCAAATAAAATACACAAGGCTAGGCATGGTGGTTCATGCCTGTAATCTCAGCACTTTGGGAGGCTGAGGCGGGCAAATTGCTTGAGCCCAGGAGTCCAAGACCAGCCTGGGCAACATGGCAAAACCCCATCTCTACAAAAACTACAAAAATTAGTTGGGCATGGTAGTGCCTGTAGTTTCAGCCACTTGGGAGGCTGAGGTGGGAGGATCCCTTGAACCTGGGAGGCAGAGGTTGCAGTGAGCCGAGATCACACCACTGTACTCCAGCCTTAGCGAGAGAGTGAGACCCTGTCTCAAAAAAAAAAAAGAAAGAAAATAAAATACGTATGTTTCAATTGCAGATTAAAATGCCTTTTTAAGTAGACTGTTATACAGTTATATATTAATCACAGACACGTTTTAATTTCGAGTTAGGGTTTACAAGTAATTGTGGTTAGAAACAGGTGCCCCCAATTAAAATATTTAAAACAGGTTTGACTTAAAAGGCTGGTAAAATAGAACAGAAAATTTGATTTTCCTTGGAATCTGTCTATGTGTGGGCACAGGCCAAGAACATTATAACCTGTAAGTGAACAAGATTGACAGCATGGGACTGTGGCTTTGAGGTCACATTATCTGTCTTGCACAATTGAGGTCAGAAGCCATTACAGGAATCCAGACATTCTGAAACAGATATCCTATTTTTCTGATCTATAAATTTGTTTCTTCCATTATGGATTAAATGGAGGAAGAGATATGAATGGGGGGGGGCAAGTAATAGGAATTGCTGTAAAAAGCTTTTCTAAAAAGACAGCCATCTAGTTACTTAAGCATTTATCCAGCAAATATCTAGTTGATACCACCTGGGTGACAGTAAGACAAGAGAGTCAGAGGTGAATGTCACATGGTCCTTGTCCCCTAAGAGCTCACAGTCTAACAGGAGAAACAGTATCCTTTATTGCTGAATTTTATGTTCCATGTTTAAGTAAATATTTGCATCACTTTCCATAGTAAATGGTTTTAGAGAAGCAAAATATTTTAGAAACTGTGCCTTCTATTTGAAAATGAGGTGTGGGTGCAGATAGACACAGAGAGATGCCTCAGACCAGCAGGTTGGCTCTGCCTCACCTGTGCCAGCAGTGAGGCATGGGAGAGGGGAGATGTGCCATTGAGGGGGTTGGCAGGCCCCACCCCAGGATGGCTTCCTCACTGTGGCTCTATGTGTTACAGTTCCGGGACCCTGCGACCCCGAAGACTTGATCGATGGAATCATTTTTGCCGCCAATTACCTTGGCTCCACTCAGCTGCTCTCAGACAAAACTCCTTCCAAAAACGTGCGCATGATGCAGGCCCAGGAAGCCGTAAGCAGGATCAAGGTGAGGACATCTGGGTGCTCCAACAGGGACAGGGGGCTGGTGTAGGCACTGGAGCAGTCTACAACACTGGCCACAACTCCACATATAGTTTAGAGGAGAGTGGTTTGAGATGACATCACACAGGCAGTGCTTATCCATGTGCCTGCTAACAAAACAAAAATTTCCAAAATCTACTGGAGTCTTTATATACAAACATGATCTATTTAGGTTGTTATAAATGGCCAGTCTTGAGAAGAAGTGCTCATGATCACAACCTTTGAAAAGTTGGTGTAATGAGGAAGGATGCCGTTTTGAGTATTATGTCTCAAGTGCAAGACATGTACCACTGGATTTCCACTGACAGCTGGAGGTCAGTGGCAAACATTCATGTTACAGAGTTGGTTTAAACTAGGTGGCATTGCTTTTGAACCAGCCCATCCTGTTCAAGCTAGATTGAACTTGCTTGCTTCAAGGAAAATGAACCCTTTGATCAAATCTAACCTGGCTAGTCTAAGGTCAGTGCAAGGCTAATCCAGTTTAAACTAGTTTGAGCCAATCATAACATGTTTGAATCTCATTAATCAAGACATAAAAGGAACGAGCCTGTTTGATCCAGGAGGAACCACTCTTATCTGGTTTAAGTCATTCACAACTAGTTTGAACCATCCAGAACTGGTTTATTCCCATGAATAAATGCAGCAACACAGAGCTCTAGAATCTCCACCACGATACCAAAACTACCTAGAATCATGGGCAAACCAGGACTCCAGGAACACTTAAGGTGTGTTTATGTCATCCACATGCCATTGTGCCACCAGCACCTGGAACCACTGGGCAGCCTCCCCGAGCCTTGAGGCCACTGTCACCTAGAGCCCTAGGGACAGCATCATGGTAGAAGTCCAGGACCAGGTATTTCCAGCAAGTTGGAATAGGTTAGAACTTGTAAGAGTCTGTTTTATCCAGTTTCAACTGGTCAAAATGGATTCTTCCCTCAAGGAGCCATTCCATATTTCATACCTTCTCTCTCACACACTCCCAGGTTGCACCCTGGTGTTTGTGTGGTAACGTGGAAGGAGAAAGAGGGACAGGTAGACCGCAGTAACTGAGAATCCTTGATCTCGCAATCAAAGAAAAAATTATTCCTTGAGCACTTAGGCATGAAGAGCTGTGCAGGGTCTTGGCAGGGAGGAAAAACAGTAGCTGATAAAGTGAGATCCTTGTTCTCAAGCTCAGCAGTATGAATGAGGGAATGACAAAGCAAGCCAGGGAGTGTGTGGGGTGTGCCCAAGGAGAGGACAGTGTCAGAGGCCGAGTGCCACCAGAGTGCAGGGGAAGCCTGCAGATGCGAACACCTCTGACCACTGCCTTCTGCCTGAGAGGTAGAAAGGAACAGTAAGTGACCAACAATTCCAAGAGGTGCTTGCAGAGGAGAGGCAGTTGGTTTGGGCCTCATGCCCAAGCTGATTCTTACGTTAGTCACGTGTCCAGACTCTGCCATGTGGTGAATAGCTCATACCATCACCAACACCGTAAATATGATGCGCCTGAACCCTCAGCTGTCCAGTTATCCTGCAGTTCCCAGGATGCTGTGTGAATGGCCCCACGTCCCTCTCATGGCTTCCTCCTCAGGCTGCTCACTGCCGCTCCTGCTGCTGGGCCTCTGTGTGTCACCCACTGATCTGACCACCTCTCTGTACTTGGAGAAAATGCTTCTCCCCCAAGCTCAGAGCTGGCCCTTCTCTTAACTCCTCCTAGGACAGTAAAGCCCATGCCGTAACTTTTGACATGACTACGATGTTTTTATAAACCAGGGAGGAGTGATTTGCAACTGCCTCAAGAGTGACTGTTGTCACAACCCTGCTAGGCCAGACCTAGTGTCAGGATTACTGACAGGACCTTTTAGTTCCTTCCGTGTGTCAGGGATCCACTCAGCCACTTCATCTGGGGCACACAAACCTTGCCTGTGCCTCAGAGGCCCTGCTGCCATAAGGCCCATTTCTGTGGTGTTTGTCTTCTTCTAAAATTAGCCTCTCCCAGAATGATGGACAGTGGGAAGGTCCAGTTCTTTTAGGGGAAGCCCCACCCCCTACCCAAAGAGATGTGTCTTGCCCCATGGCTCCCAACAGGACAACTCCGTGGAGACAGTCTGACCTTCATACCTTTTGGGACTTTGAGACTAAACAATGCTACGGATAGAACATCACCATGTTCTTGGGGAGCTGCCCATCCAAGCTTGGCCTAGTTCCCTTTCACTGTCTTCCTGTTTCCACGAAGTAGTGACATTGTGCCAGCAAGCCTCCCCAAGGTCTTCTCCATCTTAATTTAGTTGTCTTCCAGGCACAGCATTCAAAACAACAACCCACAAACCTCTCAGAGAGAGCAAGCTGCTTCTCAGGCAAAGTCACGTCCTATTTTGTATAAAGCAGAGAACTTTAAATCAAAGAGACATAGAGACATAGTTCTGACTCCACGTGCCCCATGGGTACCAGATATGCCACCTGGGCTTCCAGGTGAATGGTGCTGTTAGCTTCCCCAGGTTTGGTGGAAGCACAAAAGCCTGGTGTGCCTCACTTGGGGTCTCTGATAGACAGGGACTGCCTTCATAAGATGTGTTTGGAAATGAGTGGGGGCACCTCTGCTTGTCACCATGACTGGGGGCATTTTCTGGGCCAGAGCCAGGTGTGCTCAAGACCCTATAACATCCAGGGCAGAGCCACAAAACAAAGATTTTATCTCTACCAAAATGCCAAAGAGCCCCTATCAAGGAATGCTACCCAGAGCCCGTTCAGGCGTATCTTCCAGAATAAAGCAGCAGTCTGCCCCCAAAGGAGTACTGAAGACTTCTGAGGTTGAAAACTGCACGTTGCCTTGAGGTTAGTTTTTTCTAGGTTCTATCCATCAAGGCTTCAAACATTTTAAGGTTCAGGTTTCATTTGGGACACCTTGTTTATTAGCCCTCTGATAGCTTTGGACTCCTACAGACAGAACATTTATGCCTTTCCAGTCCCCTTATGGCACTTAGGTAGTGCTGAGATGGCCTTACAGGGAAAAAGCGGGCACGGGGCACATCACTTGAACGTAAAGCAATGTTCGGGGTACACAGCATCCCTGTACCAAAGCTCGTCAGTGCCAATTATATTGTGAATTACATTTTCTTATTTCCAAAGTGGTGTCCTATAGAGTTGTTATTCCTTCTTTAAAGTCCAGCTGCCTCATAAGAAATCAGAGATTTTACTTCAAAGCTTCCAAAGGATTGGTATCCCGAAGTTCCACAGTTCATTTGAATCAAAAATTAGATGGCTCTGTTGATCAGAACAACCAAGATAGAGGCTTTCTGATTATAAATACATTTTAGACCTGCCTAGAGCAGAATAGGCATTTGGAAAACATAGATTTATTTTTACAAGCAAATTACTCTGGCGTGAGGAATTCATTATAGAGTGGTAAAATTAAATGGTTACATTTCATTTATAACTTATAAGTATCATTTTACAATGTGCATCTATGCATTGGAAGGAACTGTTGCCTGTCATTAAATATTTTCTGTTTCATGTTCCTTTTACATCCATTAAAATGCTTATCAGATTGGTTGACGTTATATCCAGCTAGAAGCCTTTTCCAAGTGTAAATGGAGATGCCTGTTTAAGTCAGCACTCTCCAAAAAGTGACTGTGTCAGGGAGCGTACACGGACTTCATCAATGCAAAGGGAAGCTGGGGGCAAAGAGTGCTGATCCTGAGCAGGCTGGGCTGGGCTCAAGTGGAAGGAGCTTGCACCAGGTGCCCACATGTGCTTGGGAGACACTGCTCTGTAAGGAAGATGGTGCCACGCTGTTTCCTAAAGAGAGACTGACCTTTCAGGACAAGTTATTCTAGGCCACCTTGACAGAAAGGACGTAGAGCACAGCAAAGCTGCAGACTTTATAGCGTCCGTCCAGGAAGGAAGGAGAAAGAAAAGCTCTGTGGATTTATTTTGCAATCCATTTAGCAATGTCCTTAACCCCAATCTGATTAGTAATTTCTGGCTTGGCACTTTCACCTAAACAAAGGTGGGGGTAGTTTCCTCCTTTGTTTTCTGATTCCTCCTTCTTCCCTCACTCCCTGCAGGGACCCCCGTTTTGTCCCTCTCTTCCTCTGCCTACATTGTTTGTTTGACCAGATGGATGTGACTGGATGTGAATGAGAACTGCTCACCACGCGCCCTGTTATTCGTGGTGCTTTATCTCTGAACAGACGCTGACCTTGAAGCTTAGGTTTCCATTTCAAAGTAGTCTTTAATTTCTCTTCCATTTGTCGATTGTGGTGTCCGCCACTCATGTAGTACCAACTGTATACTAAAATTGAACATTGCTTATTGGATTTGGACTTGGGGTTTTGAAAATTACTGTTTTCTTAATTTAACAAAAAATTTACAAGATTCCTTTGCCACATGGAGAGAGAATTTGGAGCTGCGGTTTGGCCAGGTATTTTCTACTTAATGTGAAAAGAAACAAAGGAATTTGGCCCCAAATGCCAACTGTTGCTGTGCAGACTCCTGTGATAGGCCCTTTAGGAATAAATTTAACCAATACACAGTTCTTGAGCTTGAGAAACTTGCAGTAAAAACAAGCCAAAAAGAATGTTAGGTAACAAAAATACAAGGTAAGCTGAGGGCTCTGAAATTTAAAGGCTTTTCCATCTACCACAATTTAAGAGATGACATATCTGAGCACAATAGCAGAATTAGAAGACATCTGTCATTAAACATTTTTTTGTTTTGTTTTGGTCTTTGGTCCCTCCCTAATGTGTTCATTCTGCCTTTGTTGGTCATCATTTTTGAGAAGTAATATCCTTCCAGAGAGCCCCCATATACCTTAGGGGATTGCATTAGAGCCCTGGTTCTCAAAGCATGATCCCTGGACCAGTAGCATCAGCATTGCCTACAAACTTCTTAGAAGTACAGGTTTTCAGGCCCAACCCCAAACCTACTGAGTCAGAAACTCAGAAGGTGGCACCCAGGAGTCTGTGTTTTAACAAACCCTCCAGGAGATTCTGCTCTGCACCAGCGTTTGGGAACCACTGCCTTAGAGAAAGGTGGACCCGCCAGTGTGTGAAGCATCTTTCCTCCCACTGTGCCCTGTAGCATTCTAGTCAGGCTAAGTGCTTGTCATTAATAGAGTTCCACTGGCAAATAAGCTCAAGAAAATAGACCTCCTTTTCGGACATTTGCTACAGGTGTCTTCCTCTTCAAGGCTCTGAGAAGTCCTGCACTAAGAAGATTTCATTCACTTTAACTAGCAGCTCCCATACTTATTTGAGCACAGAATACATTGTTACCATGTGATAGATACCTGTCATTGGTAGTATTCTCTGGAACATGTTTTGGGAGAAACTTCTAGAGAGAGCTTTGTCCTATGTGCTGTCAGTCTTTAATGTGCCGTAGATAGAAACACATCTCTCCCCTAACAACGTGGGACTCATGCCTACCCCTTTCTAGAGAAAGCCAGACTGGAAGCCAGCACAATGAGCTCATTTGTCTTCCTTGTTCTCCACTGCATCTCCACCTTGCCTTCCACTCTCATTCCCACTTCATTCTCTGCTCTTCAACCAGAAGATAGGGTGGCCTGCTGAGCCCTACCTGAACCACAGAGACTGCTTCATGTCCATCCACCCAGAGTGTGGTGTTTGTGTCTCCATTCTTCCTGTATTTGTGAAGCTAATGCAATTAGATTAGATTACAAATGGTGTATAGGTATCTTGTGGTCCATGCATTTTGGCAAGCTGCATTCATTATCAAATATTCATATATTCATCTTAACTAGCCTGTCCCAAAGATCAGATTTTTTTCATTCTTTTATGATTTTCTCAAAATTATGATTTCATTGTAGAAGTAAAATGTCTATCATTATAGCTTTGCCTAAGTTGTAGCATTTCCCAGCTTAGTTGAAGAAATCTATGATCAGTAAAGTATTAGGCCCTTCACATGCATTATCTCAATCTCATTTACTCCTCAAAATGGATGGGGTAGAGAACATTGTGAGGTAGGTGTTGTTAACCCCATGGTATAGACAAATGGAGAAGTTTACAGATGACATGCTTGCCCCAGTTGCACAACTAGGGGTTTACAATGGAGTGAGATTGCCAGAGTTTGAATCTCTATTCTGCCACTTCACAGCTGTGTGACCTGGGGCAAGTTAATTAGCCTCTCTGTGCCACATTTCCCTCTTCTGAAAAATGAGGATAACATAATATAGGCAGAAATGACAACATCTACTTAAACCTCGTGTTTCATGGGATTGATCATGGCTTACCATCTAGCAGGGTAGTAGCTCACAGGGGTGTTGTAAGCTTTTACACTGATTTATGTGAAATACTTTGAAGGATTCTGGCACATAGCAAGTTCTCAGTAAATGTCAGTGGGGAGAGAAAAGATAGAACAGTCAGGAGCATCCCTGGCACGACTAATCTAGAGTGTGTTAACAGCGGCAGAAACTCAGTACACATTGTGGATGGAGTAAGGGGGTGGGGGGTGCTGCAGTTTGTCCTTTGCACTACACCCCGCCACGTGGTAAACCATGATCAATCCCATGAAACACGAGGGTTTAAATAGATGTTGTCATTCCTGGCTTTAAAATGCATGCTGGCCTTATGTTTCTCTTGGACCCCTTTCTGCTACCCTAATTTCTCATTCTGGCTCCAACTCTCCCATCTTCTGTGATGTTATATTTAAATTTTAAATTATAATTTGTTGCAGGGTACTTGGATATCATGAGTGATTTAAAGATGGTATTACTCTAAATCCACAGAATATTTTTAACTTCATAAAAACTGTTTCGGGCCAGGCACAGTGGCTCACGCCTGTACTCCCAGCACTATGGGAGGCCAAGGCGGGTGGATGACCTGAGGTCAGGAGTTTGAAATCAGCCTGGTCAACATGGTGAAACCCCGTCGCTACTGAAAAATACAAAAATTAGCTGGGTGTGGTGGCACATGCCTGTAATCCCAGCTGCTCAGGAGGCTGAGGCACGAGAATTGCTTGAACCTGGGAGGCGGAGGTTGCAGTAAGCTGAGTTGGCACCACTGCACTCTAGCCTGGGTGATAGAGCGAGACTCTGTCTCAAAAAAAAAAAGTTTCAGAATACCTTTCATGAAACTCAGTTTGCCTTTTGGATCCTCTTCCTCAACACCAGTCCCAGAAAAAAAAAAAAAAGAATTTGGGTACTCCAGTGATGGTGGAACCTATTTCCTTTTGAAAGAGTTATTTCAAATCGGTTCCCTAGAGTTGAAGAATTTTGACCAACAGCTGTTAGGGTTTGGGATCCAAAGTAATGGAAATTCCTATATTACTGCCATATCATTTCAGGAGAAGTAAAAAACAAACATTAAAGATCTCCCAGCTGTCAGTTATGCAGATTATAACTGATGCCAGTCCGAACATCCCTGGCCAGACTCTGGGGTTCCACACGGGAATCCTCGTGGTGTGGCATGGCATAACATCAGCATAGGGTCACTTCTCAGATGCAGAACTATTCCCACTGTAATGTGCAGCAGTCAGGATGACAGAGTTGCTACCTTCAAACTTTTTCAGAGCAGACTATTCACTGTGAACTCATGGCGACCAGTAAGAACAGCAGGGCATCTGTGTGGGAGTGTGGTTGCCCTGGTTTCCCGGGTGTACCAGAGATTCGCTATGTGGTGTCTGGATGGCTGACTTATCCAGTTTCTCTACAATGAGGTAGTATAGGCAACATATTTTAGTCACTAATGAAACAGAGATGTGCTGCTGAGAGCAGAGGAGCTTTTCTACCAGGTGAGTACCCAGGAATATGAGAGAGCAGTTCTTCCTCCACCCCAATCCCATTACCACAATAGCGTCTGCAGTTTGGCCATTGACTTGCCATTATTTGTACAAGATCTGTATAAATAGCAAGTCTTAGCAAAAGGCAAGAAATTGCATCATGACCTAGGTCAATTATAATCATATAACAGCAAACACAAATATAGTGCTTAGAATGTATGAGGCACTGTTTGAAGAGCTTTGCATGTATTCATTTTGTCCTCAAAATATCCCTGTGAGGTAGATACTATTTTTATCTTCACTTTACAGATGAAGAAACTGAGGCACAGAGATGTTCAGTGGCTTGCCTCAAAGTTGCACAGCTAGTAAGTGGCAGAGCCAGGACTTGGTTTTAGACAATCCAGCCCCACGCTCTGCTTTTATCAACTATGCTGTCTTTTAATTGTGAGCAAAAGGGAGAATGGTACATCCATTTTTAGTTAGGTGTAAACTACATTAATATTACATAAATTTAAGGCAAGAAGTATTACTGGAGATAAAAAGGGAGAACAATGAAAGGATCAATTTACCAAGCAGGTATACCATCCTACCTGTGTGTGCACCTTATAACATAGCTGTAAGATAAAGATTGACAGAATCAGGATACACAGACAAATCCACATAACAGCTGGAGGTTTTAACACACTCAATAAATGATGGAACAAGAGATTAAAGAACCAGCAAGTATATAGAAGGTTTGAACAATACTGTTAACCACCTTAATTGACCTAATTGTCATTGATTGAACACTGTCCCTAACAACTACGGAATGCATATTTTGAAGTGCACATGACACATCCACCAAAGGCAGTCATGTGCTGGACCATAGAGCTAAGCCTCAGCATATTTCAAAAGATTGACATACAGACTGTGTTCTCTGACCACAGTGGAATTAATTCCAAAATCAGCAGAAAAAGATAACTAGAGGCCAGGCGCGGTGGCTCGCGCCTGTAATCCCAGCACTTTGGGAGGCTGAGGCAGATGGATCACCTGAGATCATTTGAGACCAGGCTGGCCAACATGGAGAAACCCCATCTCTACTAAAAAATACAAAAACTAGCCAGGCGTGGTGGCGCATGCCTATAATCCCAGCTACTCGGGAGGCTGAGGCAGGAGAATCTCTTGATCCTGGGAGGCAGAGGTTGCGGTGAGCCAAGATCATGCCATTGCACTCCAGCCTGGGCAACAAGAGCAAAACTCCATCTCAGAAAAAAAAAAAAAGAAAAGAAAAGATAACTAGAAAATCCCCAAATGTATCAAAATTAATAATACAATTCCAAATAATCCAAGGTTCTAAGAAATTGCAGTGGAAATTTGAAAAAAAATTTAACGGAACAATGATTAAATTGAAACACAAAAATCTGTGGAATACATCCAAAGCAATGCTTAGAGGGAGATTCATAGCTTTGCATATCAGAATAAAGTTTGAAAAGCCATAATTTAAGTTTTTATCTCAGGAAGCTGAGAAGTCAGCAAATTAAACCCAAAGAAAGTAGAAGGAAATAAAGATCTATGCTGAAATCAGTGAAATAGAAAACCAGGCGTACAATAAAGAAAATTAACAGAACCAAAACTTGGTTATTTGGAAAGATCACTTGCAATTAAGTATAAGAAGCACTGCAACACATTTCCTTTGTCTCACTTCACCACTTCCCACATACTAAATTCTGAATTACGACATTGATTATCTTTAGACTGGGATTTTTAAAAGCCAGTCCTCCTCCCACAGAAACGCTTTATGCCACTATTCAGTATTAGTTTGTCAATTCCCTTTTTGACTTTGAGTCTCTACACATTCTTTCTAACTATTCTCCTGTCTCTGTTTGTTCCATGCTAAGCAGATGGCCCAGAAATTAGCCAAAAGCAGGAAGAAGGTGCAGTACAAACAACTTCATCAGCTTGGTGTTATGCCTGTTCTTTTCATTCGTTTCTGTTTTACCTTTTTATATTTTCGTGTTTTTGTTTTCTGCATCCAGCAAGTTTTTGTTCAGATTTCTTTTTGAACCGCCCCATAAGCCAGCGTTTCTCAAAACTCAGTTGCCGAAGGTGGCCGTTTTCTGTTGCTCATTAGTCATTTCACTTCAGAGGAACGACAGGGAGCAGATTGGAGACGCTGAATGAATCGTATAGTAGTATGGAAGTTCCAAACATTCAGGAGCATCGATGTGGCAGGGACTTGAGTCTGTTTGATTATAGTTATGCTTGATTTGTGGATTTGTCAGATTGCTGGATGCAAAAAAGAAAACTCGCTAATAACCACACATGTACAGAGTTAAGCCCTAAATGAACCAGACTGCGCTTTTTGGTTGTGGAGCTTCTAGGTGCTTATGAGCTACTACTCCTGGGACGTTGAGGCATTGGGGCTCTTTCTTAATGGGGTGGCTTCAGGACTGCTTCTGTGTTGCTGGGTGATATGTAAACATAAAGACCCTCTTACCAGAACTGCATCCAAATGGCTTCATTTGCAGCTGCTATAAACATTGTCTCCTATCAGCTCAAGCAGAGGCAAATTCTAAGTGACTTCCCCAAGGTCTTTTGGTATGAGCTTTTTGGCCTATTTCTTCAATCTGTTGGGCTCCAAAACCCTTACAGAGAGGGCCACTTGCCATCATCGTTCAAAGAGTGAAATCTACTGCAGTGAGTTACTGCTTCTATAGGGGAAGAAGAAAAGGGGATTCCGCATTTTTCCCTGTAACCTAGAGGTGCTAACTCTTGTCCATGTGTCCATCCTCTGTGTGGTAACTTCAGCTTTGGCAGTTTAACCCTAGAGTCTGTATTGCTGTTCTGGTGACTGTGTCGTGGTGCCTCTGTGTGAGCTAACCTTACTCCTTCTGCATCTGGGTCAGGGTAGTGTGGTCAAACTTTCTCTTGGTGCATTTTTTCTTCTCAGGCTCCTGAAGGCGAATCTCAGCCAATGACTGAAGTGGATCTCTTCATTTCTACCCAGAGAATCAAAGTGCTGAACGCCGACACACAGGTATCAGCTGGCTTCCACCTTTCCCAGGGTGAAGCTTAGTGACATCGTAACTCAGAGATGCATGTGTCTGTAGAGCAGGCATGTGTCTGTAGAGCAGCTGTCCCTAGATTCTGGGCCCCAGTGAGCTAGAAGGTGGTGTTCACAGTGCCTGCTGCTGGGTGGGGTTTGGGATTGCTTTCTTAAAGCCCAAAAACACCCCTAAGACATGGATGACGTTTAGCATTTTCAGAAATTTTAATCAGAGAATTCATTAATGTGAACAAATTTGTCTTTTAAGAAATTTTATTTAAAATCTCTTACATTCACGCACACAAAAACAGAAACAGCCCTGCCATTTTGATTTGTCTTTTTTTTTTTTAAACTTCTCCACAAGAGATTCAACTGTTTGGAATTTCTTATTTCTTTTCACCTGCCACAGATCATTTCCTGCTCTTGATTAGCTAAGGGAAATGCCCTCCGGCCTGGGTGGGTATCCGTTGATCCCTCAGCATGGGCTTTGCAGTGAGCCCTGGAGCCCACCCTGCATGCGAACCATACTTGACTGGCTGTAAGGTGGCAGGCGCTTTCTTAGGTCATTAGATGCTGAGCTGGACTTACCCGCCCTCTCTTCCTGCCTCCAGGAGACAATGATGGACCACCCTCTGAGGACCATTTCCTACATTGCGGACATTGGGAACATCGTTGTGCTGATGGCCCGCCGGCGGATGCCTCGCTCCAACTCCCAGGAGAACGTGGAAGCGTCCCACCCATCCCAGGATGGGAAAAGGCAGTACAAGATGATCTGCCACGTCTTCGAGTCTGAGGATGTAAGGGTTGCTTCCTTTGATCTCCTTTTGGGTTAGGTTCTCTTGACTTCTCAGAACCTGATTCAGTCTAATTCATCACACATGATGCATGTATTTATTGTGCACGTACTGTGTGTCAGGCACTGTTCCAGCACTAGAGATATAAGGCTGAGTAAAACAGACAGGGTACTCATCGCAAGGGCTGAAAGGAGGCAGAAAATCAATAGGTAAATATACTTAATGTAAAATTGGGTAGTGGGGAGTGCTCCACAGACAAATAAAACAGGGTCAGGGGATGGAGGGACAGGGGCTATGTCAGGTAGGGTGATCAACAAAGCCCTCACTTGAGGAGGTGACCTTGGAGCAGAGACCTGAATAAAGTGAGAAAGAGGAAGGAGCAAATGCGAAGGCCCTGAGGCAGGGGCTAGCTGCGTTTCCCTTTGAGGAAGGGAAAGGAGGCCAAGCTATTAGCGACTTTGGGATGAGGTGAAGAGTAGGAAGAATTTGGCACCTCCTGTAGGGGTTTGAGCAGGTCTGTCCAAGCATGAGGGCATTTTGGGAGGACAGTTCTTTGTGGTCCAGGACCATCCTCTGGGCTACAGGAAAGTTAGCATCCCTGTCCCTCCCCAGCAAACAGCAGGAGCACTGCCCACCCCAGTCCTTAGGAAAACCAGCTCCTTTTCCTGGCACAAAGCCAGTGGTTCCTAAGCTCCATTTCTCTGGGTGATGCAGTCAACAGAGAAAATTTGTTTACAACAGAAGCCATTCTGTCATTTGGCCTACTTTCAGGGTTGTAACCCAAGCTGCTAGTGAGGCCACCAGGCTGCAAACTGCAGCCTGAACTAAGCTGCTCCCAGGTGCTCCCCTACCTCCCCGCACCATCCTGGGCCTCAGCAGTCCTCAGAAGCCGCCTCCCAGGGGAGGCCACAGCCCTATAGTAATTTTTAATAGCAGAAAACTCACCCACCCCCTGAGGGCCATTGCTTTTGACTGTGCTCATTTTTCCTCCTGACACAGAGGAATAGGCTCTGTTTCTCACATGGAGCACGGAGTCCTGATCTGGGAAGAGAAGATGGCGTCTGATAGCCTTGGTTCCTTCAAAGAGGCCCTTCTTCTCCAGTACAGCATTCGTCTAGCTGCAGAAATTGCCTTCCTCTCGGAAGTTAGGTGTCAGCAGCCATCCTGCTTTTTTCTCCGGGGAACCAGAGCTGTCGTGGCTGTGGGCACAGAGAGGAGGAGATGCCAACACTTACTGTCACCATCTTTTATTGGTCTTGTTCTCTAGAAAGCAGCACAGGACAAGGTCACTGGGAGAACAGAGAGCTTGAAATACCTCTGCCTGCCATTCTCCCTACTGTTCCTGTAAAGCTGAGGCCAACATGCAAACGGGGAAAATGAGTTTTAGGAGGTTCTCAGAAAGTTCCAAAAGAGTGAAAATTTGGACTTTTAAGCCTCCTGTGTCCTGCAGGCCAGCGAAAAGATGAAGTTACAGGGATCGAGGATCCCTGTAGGCCCCGCTGCTACCTCCATCTGGCTGGAGCTCATAGGGAGGGGTTTCTTCTCCTTGGGGTACCCTTGGATCCATCAGGGAAGAAAGGAAAGATTGGAGAAGCAAGAGGTAGGCAAGAGTGGACCTGAGAATCTTACCCCTTTGCTTTCACTAGAGCAGGGCCAGAGTGTGCTGGCTCCAGAATTGGGCAAGCTGAGCTTGAGTCCTTCCTCATCCAAGCTGTGCAGCCACTAAGCCTCAAGTTCCTCTTCTGCAGGACGATAGTACCTCCCTCACCAGGCTGCTGTGGCACTCTCATAGATATTGCAGTTAAAGCCTGATGTGTGGCACATGGCTAGTGGTCCATAAATCTCAGTAGCCAGTGTATTCACCAGGGGCATCCACTAATGATGATCAGGAAGTCGACTGGTCACATTCCCAGGTATATATTTTTCAGTTTGTCTGCATGTACCTCTCTGATGCCAAAAGCAATGCCTTACTCCTTCCAGTTTTACAATAGGTAGATGGTGGTAGTTCTTGATGTGATTTGTAAAGTCATCAGATTCTAACAGTGAGAAAAGTTAAGTATTTCTTTTCCCATAGCCAGCCACACGGAAAGTTCCCATTTTGCTGTTAATAAGGTGCTTTTAGGAAAGGTGGGGAAAGAGCAGTGGAGGTTAGAATTGTGTTTTTAAAACACCGCTCTAGAGATTTTCTGGTTTGGCTTTTTCTGCCCATCAGAATTTCACAGAGAAGCCTTCCAGTGTGGTGGGCAGGAGGATGGGCTCTGGATTCAGCCCCCAGCCCCTTCTCAGGAAGTGTGCAGTTTAACCCCTCAACCTCCATATCCTGTTCTACCCAGTGGGGACACTAATACAGATCCATAGTTCCAAAGTCTAGAAAGCTCTGAGAAACAAAAGGGATTTTTGAAGTCAGGTGGCTGATAAACTTGCCTTGCCTGCTGGCAGGCCGTTTATAGAATTTGTCTAGCTTACCATGAATCTTACAGATTTTGCCACAGAAATGTTACTGTGCTCTGTGTACTTCCCCAGACCGTCAGGGGGTTATGGCACAATGTACAGTATTTGCACCCTGCTACCTTTCTAAAATTGGAAAAGTTTTGAATTCTGAAGCAGAGCCTCTTGCATTCCAAGTGAAGGATTGTGGACCAGTCATACTAATAGCTGTCATAGAATCGATATGCAGATTCAGTGATGGTCCTTGTATAGCATTTACTTTTCATAGCATATACCTTGTATAGCATTTACTGCAGCATAGCCACATGAGAAGTGCTCAGTTGCTCTTGGCTGTCTGGATTAATAATGTTGCTTAATTAATGCAGGGAAAAGCTATCAAAACCCAGTGTAGAAGCCAGTGCCACCTCCTGCAAGCTGTGTGAATTTGAGAGGTTCCTTTGTGTCTCTGGGCCTCCATCTCCTCAACTGGAAAATGCAGGGTTGGACCAGTCAGAGTTCTCAACTCTGTTAGACCCAACCCTCCCTTTCTACAATAAATATCTTATTAATGACCCATTACTATCCTGAAATGAAATTCATAGCTAATATAACCTCCCCTATTGAAAAATCTTTCACAGAATAATCAAATTGTGGCCATAAATATAATATAAAGGAAAGATAAGTGGAAAGCAAACTAAAATAAAACCATATTACAATATGTATTAATAAATGCTCTGGCGCAACCATTCTGAAAGGCATAATGAGATAGTGAGATGCTTATGCCTACTTGATTAAGCTTGGATGTAGGAGAACGCAGTGTGCAGTGGGATATCATAAACTTTCCAGTTGACATTTCAAATTGAGGGCCAAATAATATGTATGTATCTACAAGCACATGCATAATCACCATGCATGACAGCACACGTGCAGGTTGATAGGGATGTGATTTATCGGCAACACAGATATCACAGCAGCGCTGATGTTGATTTTCCAAAGTCATGAAGTTTCCTCCTGGTGAAGTACTGAATGAAGCAAAATAACATCATCTCTCAATTCAGACGGTATTATTCTTGAAATGTTCGATGTGTATTAGAGCCATACAAAGTCTTTGTGTTTATGTATAAATTGGAGTTGAATCCTGGACTCAGGTAACTGTAAACAAGTATTGCATGCACATGAATGTCCAGAGGGATCTGTGAAGATGGTGCAGGGTATAGAATGACTCATCACTGTATCGAGCTGTTTTTTGCATGGCAGGATATTCAGCATCTCTGACTCCTGTCTGCTGAATGCCGGTAGCTCCCTTATGATCATTGTCATAATCAAAAACATCCCCAGTCTTTCTGAAAATTGCCCCTGGTGGGCACTGGTAGCCCCACGTAGAACCACTGGCCCAGCAGGCGTGATGTCTAGGGTTTCCTCAGACTCCAGGAGGGCCATTGTTCAGGTGGGAAGTGCGCCAGGCCGCTCACCAGGTGCACTGCCCTGCTGACCATCTTTCCTCTCTGGCTGCTGTTCCAGGCTCAGCTGATTGCACAGTCCATCGGACAGGCATTTAGCGTGGCATACCAGGAATTCCTCAGGGCCAATGGGATTAACCCCGAAGATCTCAGCCAGAAGGAGTATAGTGACCTGCTCAATACCCAGGACATGTACAACGATGACCTGATCCACTTCTCCAAGTCGGAAAACTGTAAAGATGTGGGTACTTACCTGAAGCTGTTCTCCAGGCTGGGTCAGCTGGGCAGGGGCTTGGAAAGTGGGGCACCCTGCCGCGGAAGTGAAGGGAGATCAATGGTGAGGAGTGCCGTATTGGCAGGACATCATGAAGTCGTTCACCCCCATCTCTCGCTCCCTGCTGTGGGGCCCTGTCATGAAATGCTATTGTGGACAGGTGTAAACAGAGAGGCAGCACATCCTCTGCTCCTGGTCATCCTGAGCTAAGTTTTGGGTGGGTCCCAGAGGCAGATAGGACCTGAACTCTGCTTGTACAAACACTGCAATCTAGGTAAGGGCACTGAAAAAGTTAAATGATGGTGCCAGGTACAGGCACTAATCAAAACCAACTACACTTGGACAAACAGAGAAGATCTCAAGTTTCAGACAAGAGGTGCTGTGCTTCTCTGGGGATGGCCTGTGGCTTCAAACTGAGCTATTCAGGAATGCCTGTAGGAAGATGAGGCTATCCAAGCTGGTCTGGCGATCTGGGGATTGTAGGGGCAAGCCGAGGGTGGGGTCTATGGAATGGTTGGAAGCCTGGAGATCAGAAAGCTCCACATTTGTCTAGGGAATGAGGAAATACGGTTTGGCTAGAGCAGGAGGTAGGCACAGGAAAGGAGATAGATGGGCCTGAGATCTGGGTCAGAACTGGAGGGCCTGCAAGTCCAGCTGAGGGGTTTGGACTTGATCCCATAGGTAAAAAGAACTTTTAATGAGAAAGTGATCATTTGATCCACTGGGGTCTGTCAGGTGTCTTAGGTCAGATTCCCCAGAAGCAGAGCCTGAGGCAGGGATTCTTGTCACAGAGGTTTGTTGGGAGAGTGCCTCAGAACAGAAGGGATGTGGGAAGCTTGGTGGTGGGACACCAAGTAAGGGTGTGGTCCCTTGGACATGAGCTTCCTTCTGTCCAGAGGGAAGCTCCATGGCACATATTGCAGGACAGATTTGTCTCACCTTGGAGCGAGGGAGCTGGCAAGCCTTTGTACCCCATGCCGGTTATTGGCCAAGGCTGGACAGGGGGTATATGAATTTACTAGGGCTGTTGTCACAAAGTACCATGGACTGGGTGACTTCAACAACACAAACCTATTGTCTCACAGACCTTGTGGCCAGAAGTCCAAAAGCAAGGTGTTGTTAGCATTGGTTCCTTCTGAGAGCCGTGAGAGAAGAATCTGTTCCAAGCCTTTCTCTGGCTTGTAGATGGCTGTCTTCATGCTGTGTCTTCACATCAGCCTTTCTCCATGCATGTCCCTATGTCCAAATTTCCTCTTTTTTTTTTTGATACCCATGACAGACAACCATTCCTCTTCTTAAATAAGGACATGAGTAATATTGGATTAGAGTCCATATTAATCACCTCATTTAAAATTGGTTACCTCTGCTAAGACCTTATCTCCAAATAAAGTCACAATCTAAGTCAAAGGCACTGGGGGTTGGTAATTCAACATACAAATTTTGGGGGGACACAATTCAACCTTAACAGAATGTGTCTCCCTTTCAGCTAAGGACAGTTCTCCAGGGAAGGGGCTGACTGTAAGCTTCAGCAGCTGGGGGAAGCAGACACCAACCTGTGAAGGGGACTTTGTCAAGCCCCCCAAAAATACACATACACACTCTGTTGGGTGCTTCCAAGAGGTGTGGTACCTTTTAGTGGCATATCTGCAGGCCTCCCCAGAGTGCAAGTATCCAACATCAACCCCTGTCTTCTCTGCCCTGCCAGTGAAGGTTGTGAAAAGTCTGTGTATCCAGGATATGCACTTCCTGTGTGCACACCCAGCCTTTTGGTTGTGATAACTTCAGCATCACTTTTTCTTTTTTCTCAACTTTTTCCTTGCAGAGAAGTGTTTCTGTGTGTTTATTTATTTTTAACTCAAGAAAATTAAATGTCGGAGCGAATTGGGGAAGCACTGTGGGAGGGGGAACCTGCGCATGGAATTTGAAAAGCTATTTCTAGAAACCATAACACACCACCCACCCACAGAGCCTCATCCCCTGCCACTGAGGACAGGACTGAAGAAATTAAAAAAAAAAAAAAAAAAAAAAAAAACTGGTGGTCCTCATGGTTGTGTGCTGAGGCAAGTTTGCTTATGTGAAACGAGTGAATTACAAAAGAGTGTAGACCTGTGTGAATTCATTTCTTAAAAACTCCAAATATGCGGAATGCTGAGAAGACAGGAACTCATCTGGGTTGGTGTCCCCAGGGAAGTGTCTTTCTTTAGGCAAGACAGGAATGGGGGAGAGGCTTTCATTTCTACCTACCCCAGATGGTCACTGATGGAGGTTTTCTAAATGTTTTTCTCCTTCCAGGTTTTCATAGAGAAGCAGAAAGGAGAAATCCTAGGTGTGGTGATTGTGGAGTCTGGCTGGGGATCCATCCTCCCCACCGTGATCATTGCCAACATGATGCATGGTGGCCCTGCGGAGAAATCTGGGAAGCTGAATATCGGTGACCAGATCATGTCCATTAATGGCACCAGCCTGGTGGGCCTGCCTCTGTCCACCTGCCAGAGCATTATTAAGGTACCTGAATATGGGAAAAATCAGTTGATGTGGTAAACCTCAAGTGATGTGAAGTGTGACCCCCATCCAGTCATTAATGTATATGAACATATTCAAAGTGTCAGGCACCAAGGAAGACACAAACACAAAAGGCGTGGACTTGCACTCAGGAAGCTTACCATCAAGTTACTGTTTACAGATTCTTCCCTGAAATCAATTTAGATTAGGGGAAGTGTATTTGGTTCACATGACACTACTTTCTGATAGCAGCATGTCCATCACAGCATCACTAGTCAATCACAGCATTCTCCCACTAAGCCCAGACTCAGCCTCAACAGAAATGGCCTCAGCTTGGGAATCCAGACAGTCACTTATAGTCAGCCAGATACACTTGGCATGATTTACCATCCCTGTCAAAAATGTCAGAAATGCTTCAAATCTGAGAGTGCTTTTTCCTTCCCAGTGGCCCTGACTATGATGCAGGTGAGTTTGTCCTCCCTCAGACCCCGGGTAAAGCAACTCACATGTGCTCATTGCCAGAAGGAGGAGGAAACTCTCTTCCAGTCCATGGAAGCTTTTTCATACCTGAGCATACTTCCTGCTCAACCTGAACTGATGCTTATAAAGCTAAGAAGAGCTACTTAAAGGAAAATTAAATGTGAATACTTGAGAAGAAATGAGATTTTCTTTAGACATGAAGCATTCATGTGGAGTTTTTTGAGCACATTGGGACTTGCTGAATGCATGGCCAGTGTGACCAGGATGTTCCTCCTCCATGATGGCATCTGTAGACCCCAGTAGCTCTGCACCAAGTGCTGCGGTACTGTAGCTAGACTGAGATTCCACAGCGTTTTTTGGGGTCCTGTAGGGGTTTCCTGAAAGACTTAGCTGGAACATAGCTGTGTGCGTATGTGCATGTGTGAGAGAGAGGGAGAAGGAAGGGGATTAATTCGTGCAAATAGTCATTGTGAGCAAAAGAAAAATCACAAAGCCAGCCTCCTCAGCTAAGGGGGTGGGGGTGGGAGGTGAAGGTGAGTGTATAGGACACATGGATGGTGACTTTTTGTTTTTAATGAAATGGAGTAAATTCTAATTTCACATAAGATAATCACATCTGGAAAGAAATAGTCCTCTTTGGCCTCCTTTAATTTCTTTTTCTTATATCTTATACTTAAATAAATTCTACCTCTTGCTTAATACACGTTAAAGGTAAGATTAGAGAATCAACTTTGAACATGGATATTCATTCAGAAAGGTTTAATTGGGCCTCTGTGAGGCACTGAGCTGCGCTCTGAGGAAGCTGGCTTGCCAGTGTGCATGTGCAGGATAATTAGAGACGTGCAAGGGCTCTGCGGCCAACATAAAGGTGAGAGGCTACAAGTGATTAGATGGACAATTTTATGTGATTTTAAAGTTGACCTTGAAGGAATAAAACCTAGGTAGGTAGCAGAAAGGGAAGTGGCGTTTGGAAGTTTCTGCTTGAATTGATGGACAGGGGCCGGTGTTGAGTCAGGGAGAGATGGGGTCTGAGCCTGGCCCGGAACGGCTGGTCTGGTGTTGCTGTGATTGCATGGAGAGGCAAGCGGGGGGGTGGGGCTAGGGAGGCAGGACCACAAGTCGCTCCTGCCAGTGAGCAAGTTGCTTATTAAACACCTTGGGTGCATGCATGAGAACTGCTGAGGGGCTGTGGGACCCAGGGGCCCCGTGGACACAGTCCCTGCCCCCCAGGGAGCTTGGTCGGTTTGAGGAGAAGTGAAAGGACTTATGGCTCACAGTGCTCAGTGCTGTGTGTCTGTGCTCTGGATGCTCTGAGAATATGTGTGGACTGACTTGCTGAGCCTTCGGGGCAGCATTCTGTGGGCAGGTACTATTTTGTACCCATTGTACAAGCTAGGAAGCTGAGGCACAGCAAGATGATGTAATCGTCTGTGGTCATACAGCCTCCAATACAGAGTCATCCCAGGGAGGGTGTCAGGTGAAATGCTAGGCCCAAGGCCAGACCATGGGGCAGTACTTCTCAGCCAGGGGTGATCTTCATCCCCCAAAATGTATGGAGACTGTTTGGGTTGTCACGGAGGAGAAGGTGCTGCCAGCATCCAGTGGGTAGAGGCCAGGGATACTGTCAAACATCCTACAATGCACAGGACAGCCCCACAGCACAGAGTTATCCAGCCCCAAATGTAGGTAGTGCTGAGGTTGAGAAACTGCCTGAGCGGCATAGGAGTTCAGATGCAAGAGAGAGAAATCGATGAGAGAGGGAAGCTGGTTAGGGATGGTTTGTGGGGAGTTGGTCTGAGTCTAGAAGGGTTGGGGAGGAGGAGCGGGGATAGGGGGTTAAGTAAAGTATTGAGTAATATTTGTGTTCCCTCCAAATACATATTGAAACCCTAATCCCAATGTGATGTTATTTGGAGGTGGAGCCTTTAGGAAGTGATTAGCAGGAGGGTGGAGCCCTCATGGTTGGGATTAGTGCCCTTAAAAAAGGGACCCCAGCAAGCTCTCTTTTGGTATGTGAAGATGCTAGAAGTTGGCCATCTGCAACTCAGAAGGGGCTCTTGCCAGAACCTGACAGTGCTGGTACGCTGAGCTCAGACTTCCAGCCTCCAGAACTGTGAGGGATAAATGCCTGTTGTTTATAAGCCACCTAGTCTGTGGTACTTTGTCATGGCAGACTAAGAACAGACTCAGACAAGGGGAGGACTTAAGTAAAGGTGGGGATGGGGCCTGGGCAGGAACAAGCCGCGCTTCCTGAGGCCCTTAAGACTCCAGCTCATGGCCTGGAGTCACCTCCTTTCCTCCTCAGGACAGCCCACAAGGGGGACAGCAGATGCTAGGTGCACAGATGGGCCATCAGAGACTCTAAAGGCACAGGAGACTTGCCCAGGGCCCCCAGCTGGCCAGTGAGTCCCCACCCTCCTGCGAATCGCTCCTTCCTTATCTGCGTGGGGACCAGAGGAGGGAAGCAGTGAGGCTATGAGGGCAGCCTGACTCCCTCTGCAGCTGCCACAGCATCAAGGTGGAAGCAAAGCTTGCTGGAGTACAGACGGAGCTCTGTCTGCACAGTTTCCTAAGGGGAAATGGATTGTTTGAGGAGCTGAACTTTGATGTCTATAAATGTAATCTCTATAGAACCAGAAAATTAAAAGGCCGAGTGGTGATAAAAGAGATGTAACTGATGAAGATGAAGAGTAAGAAAAGAAAAGCAGTGCTTTCGTGGCCACCCATAGTGAAGAAGTACTTAGCAGGGCAGACCCCGATTAGAGCACAGCTGAACTTCCTCCCTGCCACAGTGCGCCGCTTGTTGAATGGGGAAATGTGATGGTCCGTCCGTGGACCACCCTGGCTGGTGGGAGGTGTAACCACTGATAACAGCCAGAATCACCAGTACCAAATACAGACTGACATCAGTGGGTCGTATCACCTTTTTAAAATTCTCTAGAAAACACACCCCTTTTTGCCTGCACCTGGACAGATGTGCACACTGCCCTACCCCCACCCCTCGGGCCACTGCAGAGCAGCATCTGGACCACTTCAAGGCTGTGTTCAAATTTGTTTCAGTGTATGTCCATGCTCTTTGCAGTGACTTTGACAAGCAACTCTCATCCTGATGAATCAGTGCTTCTCAAACTGATTGGAATCACCTGGGGATCTTGTTAGAATGCAGGTCTGATTCAGCAGGTATAGGGTGGAATTCTGCATTTTTGGCAGGCTTTGCGGCGGGGATGGCATCACCAGTCTGCAGGCTACACTTTCAGGAACAGGGATCCAAAGTGTGCATTCTGCATCTGGCCACTTCAATACTGGTTGACTATTGTCCCCCCAGGTTACAGGAAATCAATTTCTAGAGTAGAATTATAGGTATTGACTTGCCTTACTCTTCCTACCTTATTTTTTGGGTCATAATTAATTCCCAAGGCATAATTATTGGTGGGTGGAACATTTTACAGGCTGCCTCTTTCTGTGCCTTTGCCTCTGTGGTCCTGCCCTCTGGGTTTTTGCTCTGTTTTAGAATAGCGCACAGCTTCCCTTGCTTCCCCAGGAGCATCATGGTTCTGCTCTCCCGTTGCTATAGAGACCATTCTGGCTTCTCTTTTCTCTCTTCGCCCCTCTTCTCTGGGCTTCCCCTCCCACCAGATTTCTTAATTTGCTGTACCGTTCCACTGTTGTCATGGGGACCAAATGACCCTTTATTTAATTGGCACCTCCAATAAAATGGCAGCTCAGAAATCCAAGTTAATGGGACCCAACATGAAACATTGATTAGGAACAGCAGAGCAAATGCATGGTCTCGTTATTTCAAATTGCTATTTCTCTAAGCTTCATCTTGCAACACATTTTCCCCAATCTAGAAAATTTTTCACTGAGGGACAGATCAGGCATCCCAAATCAATTCACAGAGAAGGAAAGAACCGGAAAGAACCCACCAGAGCAATATGAATTTTTTAGGCAACATTGAGAAAATAGAGTCATTCTCTTGCTTTTCGGTATGTTGGGTAACATTTTCTGTATCACACAAGCATACCTAAATAATCTCAGTGGTTAATAGGCGTAAACATTTAAAGCAGGTGGCTTTGCCTGAAGGGTTGAGATTCCAACAACATGCTCCTGTCTTCATCATTCATCTCTCTTCTTTCCCACAAATTCCTGGTCTCCTGGTGTGTGATTAGAGAGAAAAGGGTGAAGGGACTCCAGCCCCCTCTGGGCTCAGAGCCCTGTGCTTAGTACTGATAATGTCTCTTATCCAGCCCCGGAGAGGGTGCGCTTCCCTGAATCTCCAGTGCCTAACACATTTCTTGGCACATGACAAGTGATTCGTAAATATTTATTGATTAGGTGGATGGAAAGGAGGAAGCACTCAAAGCAGATAAAAATATCTGCATGAATGTCTGAGCTGCTCTCCACCGTACCTCCTAGCCCCACAAAAGAAGCCCACTTTAAATTTTAGGAATAGGTTTAAGCATAATGGTTGAGATTTGGTGTTAAAGGCAAAGACATTTAGGAATAAACACATTAAAGGGGGTGCAATCATTGAAATTAGGACTGCCAGAGACATTAGTGAGCTTCACCATTTGTTGTGAAGATGAGGAAATTGAGGTGGGAGAAGGGCCAGCAAAGGGCTTCAGATCCCACTGCTTGGGGTAGCAGAAACAAAACTTGAGTTCAGGTTTTCTGACACCACAAGAGTCCTCTTCACCAGGCTGTGCTGGTCCTATTGATAGGAGCAGAAGGCCAGAGCATCTCCCTTTGTCGATGGGGACGATGGGATCTGCCGCATATGGAAGGCCTGGATCCTTCACAGATGTTCATTTCCCCAGGGAGAATCACACTCATTCCATTGCTGTGCTTTGGAATCATTTCCTTAACCAGAGCAGTTCCCTGGAGATGTTCCAAAACCACCAGGAGATGCCACATGAATGTGAATGCTAAGTCGCATGGTACATCGAGGCCACAAGCTGAGTGACAGCCATGGGGAGGCTCAAGTCCTGCAGAAAGCAGAGGAATTCAGAGCACGGGGGGAGCAGATGCTGACGGCGGGGAAATTGAGTTCCATCAAAATTCACACATTAGGAGCACAAACTAGAAGCAGAAGTCAGTGGGGAAGCCAGGGGGTGGGGGATTATGAGGACCAGGAACCCCGAAAAACTCTTGCCACGTAGGAAAATGAACTAAAAAGATGGCCCCAATTCAAGGCTGGAATTTGGGGACACAGATTTGTTCTGTGGCTGACCCTGTTGTCTTTGTGGAGCAAGCCTTATTCACAAAAGACACACCCTCTCTGGTTGTGTATATGGGGCATTATGGTGTAGAAATACTGTGCGTTTTGAATGCGGACAGACATAGGATTGAATCTTGCTGTGTGTGAATGTGAGTGAGTCATTTAAAATCTCTGAGCCTCAGTTTCCTCTTCTATAATATAGAAATAATTACAGCCACATTAAATGAGACAGCTCCTGTCCTTTCCAGGTTAATGCCAGATAACAGTGAGTGTTCAATGACAGGTAGTTACAGTCATTTTGGTTCAATTAGTTTCATCATCAGGGTGGGTTTTGATGCAGCAGTGATCTTAGGGGTGTTCCTGCATGACATAGACATGCAGATGGCTGAACAGGGGTCAGCTGTATAGTGACTGGGCAAACAAAATTTCCCACAAGATGTCACCCTCACCCCACCCTTGCCAGCGCCTGCTCTCACTGAGCACACTGGCTGCAGGTGTGACTAGTAAATTGACATCTTTGGGTGTAATCATCCATGGAGAAATTAAGCCACCTGGATGCAGATGAGGTCATTCATTGTTCTGCAGTAGTAGTCCACAACAGTTGTTCGCAAAATTGAGCGTGCACCTGAATCATCTGGGAGATTTGTCATCCACAGATTCCTGGGTCCCACCCCTAGGTTTTCTGATTCAGTGGGGCTTGGGTAGAGCCCAGAATCTGCACTTCTAAAAAGTGGCCAGGGGCTGCTGCTGCTGCTGTGTGGGGTTTAAGAGCCATTGGTGTACACCTGCTGGCCAAGCATAGTAAAGCTGGATAACCAGAGGCAAAATAGCCCCTACCTCTCCCTCAATCTAAAGCATATCCTGTAACTCAGATACAAAAGGGGTATAGGTCATTTCTGCCACTCCAAGAAGCACTCTTGCTACAGATTCTGTTTGCAGTGAAGTTGTCTAACACCAGTTTCACGCCTCTGCCAGGCAGGGTACCTGAGCAGGGATCCATAGTTCCAGTCCTGACCCCACAGAGCCCTTGGACAAAGCAATCTGTGTCTATGTCTTCATCTTTAAAATGTGAAATGTAAGTCCTGACCTCGCACTGAAAAAGATTTGGTAGACTGGTCAAGGAGTGACAGCAGTAGTGGCTGTGGAATTTACAGAATTCTATTTATAGAATAAGAGGCAGACGATCACCCTTCATGCATGCTTTTCTTGGATTTGTCACTGTTCTTTACAGGTCCTCTTTCCACTTCACTCGTAGAGGGCGCAAACTGGACCCACTCACTTGTGAACTGAGCAGGTGCTGTCTCTGAGCGATACTGTGGGCTTGGATAGAACAGAGCTTGCCTTTTCCCTGAGTCCCTCCTCATTCCCTGGTAGCTGTTCTCTCCTGCAGGAAAAGTTACCCACCTCTCCTCCCACCCACCCCACAGTTCCCTTTGGAGTAGTGGGCCTGGGGCTGAACTTGAGCGGTTTCCCAGGCAGCTGGCCTTATAGATGGGAGTCCAGTTGGGCAGGTGCTTCCCACTGAGGGCTATGACCCCCGCTGCCTCAGCTCTTATAGCAGGGCCAGGGGCTGCAGGGCCTGCAGCTACAACAGTGTGGTCTGTTTACCCCAGCATGCAAACATGATCCTCCTGCATACCATGACTTGAAAGGGGTGGGAAGGCACCTGCTATCAGCCATTCCTTCTCCTCCATGTGGCAATGAGGAGTTTGTTGAGGCACAGCAGGCACCCTGGGGAGACTGGAAGTGGACATTTGTTTCAGGGCTGAGTTCCTTTTGCCTGGCACCCTCCTCTAGGGTGAAGCTGACAAGTCAGTGGTCAGGCCTGCAGGAGCAAACCTTCCCACCACCCAGCAGAGGGCAAGTGTAGCCTTGTGATGGTTTTCTAAAGATGCTTCTGAGCACACCAGGGCTTCTGTCACTGCTGTGAGTCTGATCAGGGGACAGGAGCAGGAGCCTGAGCTCAGCTCAGACCACACAGAGGTGGAAGCTTTCTACATAGTCTCTGAAACTAGTTCCTTTTTATAGTCGAAGATCAGCTTTCCCTCTACGCTCCATTTTAATTTAGAGGGAGAGGTGTGTCATCAGGGATCATGAAACAACAGTCTGCAAGTCGTATTTCTTCCTCTTCCTTCTCCATCAACACCCATCCTACAACCCTCCCCATTCTCCCAAGGAGGCACACACTGATTGGAGTCCCTGGTTGCTGTGGGAATGTTGACAGCTATAAAATCTCTAACTGGCAGAAAGAAGGGGAAAGAGGAGCATCAGAGACAAGAGAAAAGAGCCATGATGAATCAGGCCAGTTGCTGTGAGTTAGATGTCCTTTGTTAGAAGAGGAGTCATTGCTAGAGTTTGCCTTTCAGAAGAAAAGTCCATTTCCCACTCATGTTGCTCCTGGCTGGGGGAAATAGTGTGCCTCCTTCATCTTTGAAGCCAAAAAGGACATCTGATACTTCCTCATAGTTGCACAAGTACTTTGATCAGATCCCTTGAACCCAGCCCACTTCCCAAAAGGAAGGCATTGCCCACAGGAACCCCATCTGTGCGTGGGCTAAGAGGGCTCCATCTGCAACATGTGGCGTCTTAGCCCTGGGTAGGTGAAGCCGAGCAGTGACTGTACCAGCCCAGGCACCAGAGGCCTGCAGGCAAGCAGGCAGTGGGTCCTTCGGAAGACTCAGTGCAGCTTCTTTTGCCTTTGGTGCTGCCTGCTTTTGTTTATTCTGTCTGCCTCAGTGGTCACCATACCCACTGTACTTTATTCATGTTTAAGGGCTTAAAGAATCAGTCCCGAGTCAAGCTGAATATCGTGAGATGTCCTCCGGTGACCACCGTGTTAATCAGAAGACCAGACCTTCGCTACCAGCTCGGTTTCAGCGTCCAGAATGGAATTGTAAGTAGAACACCTTCCACACCCTTTTCCACAATGTTGACAAATAAAAATGTAGCATGGCTGGGGGGGTGGAGCCAAGATGGCTAAATAGGAACAGCTCCAGTCTACAACTCCCAGCGTGAGTGATGCAGAAGACGGGTAATTTCTGCATTTCCAACTGAGGTACCAGGTTCATCTCACTGGGGAGTGCCGGTCAGTGGGTGCAGGACAGTGGGTGCAGCGCACTGTGCAAGAGCTGAAGCAGGACAAGGCATCGCCTCACCCGGGAAGCGCAAGGGGTCAGGGAATTCCCTTTCCTAGTCAAAGAAAGGGGTGACAGACAGCACCTGGAAAATCGGGTCACTCCCACCCTAATACTGCACTTTTCCAATGGGCATAACAAACGGCACACCAGGAGATTATACCCCACACCTGGCTCGGAGGGTCCTACGCCCATGGAGCCTCACTCATTGCTAGCACAGCAGTCTGAGATCAAACTGCAAGGTGGCAGCGAGGCTGGGGGAGGGGCACCCACCATTGCCCAGGCTTGAGTAGGTAAACAAAGCAGCGGGGAAGCTCGAACGGGGTGGAGCCCACTACAGCTCAAGGAGGCCTGCCTGCCTCTGTAGGCTCCACCTCTGGGGGCAGGGCACAGACAAACAAAAGGCAGCAGTAACCTCTACAGACTTAAATGTCCCTGTCTGACAGCTTTGAAGAGAGTAGTGGTTCTCCCAGCACACAGCTTGAGATCTGAGAATGGGCAGACTGCCTCCTGAAGTGTGTCCCTGACCCCTGAGTAGCCTAACTGGGAGGCACCCCCCAGTAGGAGCAGACTGACACCTCACACAGCCGGGTACTCCTCTGAGACAAAACTTCCAGAGGAACGATCAGGCAGCAGCATTTGCGGTTCACCAATATCCGCTGTTCTGCAGCCACTGCTGCTGATACCCAGGCAAACAGGGTCTGGAGTGGACCTCCAGTAAACTCCAACAGACCTGCAGCTGAGGGTCCTGACTGTTAGAAGGAAAACTAACAAACAGAAAGGACATCCAAACCAAAAACCCATCTGTACGTCAGCATCATCAAAGACCAAAGGTAGATAAAACCACAAAGATGGGGAAAAAACAGAGCAGAAAAACCAGAAACTCTACAAACCAGAGCACCTCTCCTCCTGCAAAGGAACACAGCTCCTTACCAGCAACGGAACAAAGCTGGATGGAGAATGACTTTGACGAGTTGAGAGAAGAAGGCTTCAGAAGATCAAACTACTCTGAGCTAAAGGAGGAAGTTCAAACCAATGGCAAAGAAGTGAAAAACTTTGAAAAAAAATTAGACGAATGGATAACTAGAATAACCAATGCAGAGAAGTCCTTAAAGGACCTGATGGAGCTGAAAACCACACTACAAGAATGTGACAAATGCACAAGCCTCAGTAACCGATGTGATCAACTGGAAGAAAGGGTATCAGCAATGGAAGATGAAATGAATGAAATGAAGCATAAAGAGGATTTTAGAGAAAAAAGAATAAAAAGATAGATAGATAGGAACAAAGCCTCCAAGAAATATGGGACTATGTGAAAAGACCAAATCTACGTCTGATTGGTGTACCTGAAAGTGACGGGGAGAATGGAACCAAGTTGGAAAACACTCTGCAGGATATTATCCAGGAGAATTTCCCCAATCTAGCAAGGCAGACCAACATTCAAATTCAGGAAATACAGAGAACGCCACAAAGATACTCCTCGAGAAGAGAACTCCAAGACACATAATTGTCAGATTCACCAAAGTTGAAATGAAGGAAAAAACGTTAAGGGCAGCCAGAGAGAAAGGTCAGGTTACCCACAAAGGGAAGCCCATCAGACTAACAGCGGATCTCTTGGCAGAAACTCTACAAGCCAGAAGAGAGTGGGGCCAATATTCAACATTCTTAAAGAAAAGAATTTTCAAGCCAGAATTTCATATCCAGCCAAACTAAACTTCATAAGTGAAGGAGAAATAAAGTACATTACAGACAAGCAAATGCTGAGAGATTTTTGTCACCACCAGACCTGCTGTAAAACAGCTCCTGAAGGAAGCACTAAACATGGAAAGGAATAACCAGTAACAGCCACTGCAAAAACATGCCAAATTGTAAAGACCATCGAGGCTAGGAAAAAACTGCATCAACTAACGAGCAAAATAACCAGCTAACATCATAATGACAGGATCAAATTCACACATAACAATACTAACCTTAAATGTAAATGGGCTAAATGCTCCAATTAAAAGGCACAGACTGGCAAATTGGATAAAGAGTCAAGACCCATCCATGTGCTGTATTCAGGAAACCAATCTCATGTGCAGAGACACACATAGGCTCAAAATAAAGGGATGGAGGAAGATCTACCAAGCAAACGGAAAACAAAAAAAGGCAGGGGTTTCAATCCTAGTATCGGATAAAACAGACTTTAAACCAACAAAGATCAAAAGAGACAAAGAAGGCCATTACATAATGGTAAAGGGATCAATTCAACAAGAAGAACTAACACTCCTAAATATACATGCACCCAATACAGGAGCACCCAGATTC
Source organism: Homo sapiens (assembly GCF_000001405.40). Taxonomy (NCBI): domain Eukaryota; kingdom Metazoa; phylum Chordata; class Mammalia; order Primates; family Hominidae; genus Homo; species Homo sapiens. The sequence goes on along the minus strand of NW_003315929.1, from coordinate 32,901 downwards.
ATAAAGCAAGTCCTTAGTGACCTACAAAGAGACTTAGACTCACACACAATAATAATGGGAGATTTTAACACCCCATTGTCAACATTACACAGATCAATGAGACAGAAAGTTAACAAGGATATCCAGGAATTGAACTCAGCTCTGCACAAAGCGGACCTAACAGACATCTACAGAACTCTCCACCCCAAATCAACAGAATATACATTCTTTTCAGCACCACCCCACACCTATTCCAAAATTGACCACATAGTTGGAAGTAAAGCACTCCTCAGCAAATGTAAAAGAACAGAAATTATAACAAACTGTCTCTCAGACCACAGTGCAATCAAACTAGAACTCAGGATTAAGAAACTCACTCAAAACCACTCAACTACATGGAAACTGAACAACCTGCTCCTGAATGACTACTGGGTACATAACGAAATGAAGGCAGAAATAAAGATGTTCTTTGAAACCAACGAGAACAAAGACACAACATACCAGAATCTCTGGGACACATTCAAAGCAGTGTGTAGAGGGAAATTTATAGCACTAAATGCCCACAAGAGAAAGCAGGAAAGATCTAAAATTGACACCCTAACATCACAATTGAAAGAACTAGAGAAGCAAGAGCAAACACATTCAAAAGCTAGCAGAAGGCAAGAAATAACTCAGATCAGAGCAGAACTGAAGGAAATAGAGACACAAAAAACCCTTCAAAAAATCAATGAATCCAGGAGCTGGTTTTTTGAAAAGATCAACAAAATTGATAGACCGCTAGCAAGACTAATAAAGAAGAAAAGAGAGAAGAATCAAATAGACGCAATAAAAAATGACAAAGGGGATATCACCAATGATCCCACAGAAATACAAACTACCATCAGAGAATACTATAAACACCTCTACTCAAATAAACTAGAAAATCTAGAAGAAATGGATAAATTCCTCAACACATACACCCTCCCAAGACTAAACCAGGAAGAAGTTGAATCTCTGAATAGACCAATAACAGGCTCTGAAATTGAGCCAATAATTAATAGCTTACCAACCAAAAAGAGTCCAGGACCAGATGGATTCACAGCCGAATTCTACCAGAGGTACAAGGAGGAGCTGGTAGCATTCCTTCTGAAACTATTCCAATCAATAGAAAAAGAGGGAATCCTCCCTAACTCATTTTATGAGGCCAGCATCATTCTGATACCAAAGCCGGGCAGAGACACAACCAAAAAAGATAATTTTAGACCAATATCGTTGATGAACATTGATGCAAAAATCCTCAATAAAATACTGGCAAACTGAATCCAGCAACACATCAAAAAGCTTATCCACCATGATCAAGTGGGCTTCATCCCTGGGATGCAAGGCTGGTTCAACATACAAAAATCAATTAACATAATCCATCATATAAACAGAACCAAAGACAAAAACCATATGATTATCTCAATAGATGCAGAAAAGGCCTTTGACAAAATTCAACAACGCTTCATGCTAAAAAACTCTCAATAAATTAGGTATTGATGGGATGTATCTCAAAATAATAAGAGCTATCTATGACAAACCCACAGCCAATATCATACCGAATGGACAAAAACTGGAAGCATTCCCTTTGAAAACTGGCACAAGACAGGGATGCCCTCTCTCACCACTCCTATTCAACATAGTTTTGGAAGTTCTGGCCAGGGCAATTAGGCAGGAGAAGGAAATAAAGGGCATTCAATTAGGAAAAGAGGAAGTCAAATTATCCCTGTTTGCAGATGACATGATTGTATATCTAGAAAACCCCACTGTCTCAGCCCAAAATCTCCTTAAGCTGATAAGCAACTTCAGCAAAGTCTCAGGATACAAAATCAATGTGCAAAAATCACAAGCATTCTTATACACCAACAACAAACAGAGAGCCAAATCATGAGTGAACTCCCATTCACAATTGCTTCAAAGAGAATACAATACCTAGGAATCCAACTTACAAGGGATGTGAAGGACCTCTTCAAGGAGAACTACAAACCACTGCTCAAGGAAATAAAGGAGGATACAAAGAAATGGAAGAACATTCCATGCTCATGGGTAGGAAGAATCAATATCATGAAAATGGCCATACTGCCCAAGGTAATTTATAGATTCAATGCCATCCCCATCAAGCTACCAATGACTTTCTTCACAGAATTGGAAAAAACTACTTTAAAATTCATATGGAACCAAAAAAGAGCCCACATTGCCAAGTCAATCCTAAGCTAAAAGAACAAAGCTGGAGGCATCACGCTACCTGACTTCAAACTATACTACAAGGCTATAGTAACCAAAACAGCATGGTACTGGTACCAAACAGAGATATAGACCAATGGAACAGAACAGAGCCCTCAGAAATAATGCCACATATCTACAACTGTCTGATCTTTGACAAACCTGAGAAAAACAAGCAATGGGGGAAAGGATTCCCTATTTAATAAATGGTGCTGGGAAAACTGGCTAGCCATATGTAGAAAGCTGAAATTGGGTCCCTTCCTTACACCTTATAAAAAATTAATTCAAGATGGATTAAAGACCTACATGTTAGACCTAAAACCATAAAAACCCTAGGCAATACCATTCAGGACATAGGCATGGGCAAGTACTTCATGTCTAAAACACCAAAAGCAATGGCAACAAAAGCCATAATTGACAAATGGGATCTAATTAAACTCAAGAGCTTCTGCACAGCAAAAGAAACTACCATCGGAGTGAACAGGCAACCTACAGAAAGGGAGAAAATTTTTACAACCTGCTCATCTGACAAAGGGCTAATATCCAGAATCTACAATGAACTCAAACAAATTTACAAGAAAAAAACAACCCCATCAAAAAGTGGATGAAGGATATGAACAAACACTTCTCAAAAGATGACATTTATGCAGCCAAAAGACACATGAAAAAATGCTCATCATCACTGGCCATCAGAGAAATGCAAATCAAAACCACAATGAGATACCATCTCACACCAGTTAGAATGGCGATCATTAAAAAGTCAGGAAACAACAGGTGCTGGAGAGGATGTGGAGAAATACGAACACTTTTACACTGTTGGTGGGACTGTAAACTAGTTCAACCATTGTGGAAGTCAGTGTGGCGATTCCTCAGGGATCTAGAACTAGAAATACCATTTGACCCAGCCATCCCATTACTGGGTATACACCCAAAGGACTATAAATCATGCTGCTGCAAAGACACATGCACACGTATGTTTATTGTGGCACTATTCACAATAGCAAAGACTTGGAACCAACCCAAATGTCCAACAATGATAGACTAGATTAAGAAAATGTGGCACATATACACCATGGAATACTATGCAGCCATAAAAAAGGATGAGTTCATGTCCTTTGTAGGGACATGGATGAAGCTAGAAACCATCATTCTCAGAAAACTATGGCAAGGACAAAAAACCAACACTGCATGTTCTCACTCATAGGTGGGAATTGAACAATGAGAACACATGGACACAGGAAGGGGAACATCACACACTGGGGACTGTTGTGGGGTGGGGGGAGGGGGGAGGGATAGCATTAGGAGATATACCTAATGCTAAATGACGAGTTAATGGGTGTAGCACACCAACATGGCACATGTATACATATGTAACAAACCTGCACGTTGTGCCCATGTACCCTAAAACTTAAAGTATACTAATAATAATAAAAACGTTAAAGTGGACATTTTAGTAATAATAAACATCTGTTGGAATGCTTTAAAAAAATGTAGCATGGCCTTTTTTTTTTTTTTTAAATTGAGATGGAGTCTCGCTCTGTCATCCAAGATGGAGTACAGTGGCACGATCTCGGCTCACTGCAACCTCCACCTCCTGGGTTCAAGGGATTCTCCTGCCTCAGCCTCCTGAGTAGCTGGGACTACAGGCACGTGCCACCACGCCCGGCTAATTTTTGTATTTTTAGTAGAGGCATGGTTTCACCATACTGGCCAGGCCGGTCTTGAACTCCTGACCTTGTGATCCACCTGCCTCTGCCTCCCAAAGTGCTGGTATCCCAGGCTCCCAGGGCCTTTGACTTTTTTTTTTTTGTTTTAAGCCAGTTTGTTCCCTGAAGGAATCCATCAAGAAAGAGTATGAGTGGATGAAGGAGGCTCAGCTCCCTCTCTGGACAGAGTCCCTTCAGCAGAGATTCCCACCCAGAACCCAGTGTTTCTGTGACATGCAGGACTGCCTTCCCGGCTGCCAGCTTGAGAGTTTGGGATGCACCCTCCAAGAGCCTCCTTGCCTCTGGACTGTCCACCCTGGCTGCACAGAGTCCCGCAGAGCAGCTGACTCCCAAGCCTGGGGCTGTACAGTGCAGGGGCCGGCTCAGTTCCCACAGTCACAATTGGGACTCGAACAGTTTGGTATTTGAGTGATCCTTCAAACCTTGGCCTTCCGGCGAAGCCAGGCAGATCACTTGAGGCCAGGAGTTTGAGACCAGCTTGGCCAACATGGCAAAGCCCAGTCTCTGCTAAAAATACAAAAAGTAGCCAGGTGTGGTGGCGGGCACCTGTAATCCCAGCTACTCAGGAGGGTGAGGCAGGAGGATCACCTGAACCCGGGAGGCAAAGGTTGCAGTGAGCAGAGATTATGCCACTGCACTCCAGCCTAGGTGACAGAGCAAGACTCTGTCTTAAAAAAAAAAAAAAAAAAAAAGTCCTAGGTAATTAAAATATCATTCCAAATACATTTGAAGGTTTAGAAATACCCTTGAACTTCCCATTTGGAGTTGAAATATCCAGCCCCACTTCCTGCATTCTTTGTACCTGAGTAGCCTAATTTGCCTATTAGGAGAGGATCTAGGGTGACTCTTTACAGTTTAGCTCTGAGATCATCTTTTCATTGGTTTGTACTTGTACTTGTTTGCTTTGTTCATAGTTAAACTGCATTAAAAGTTCAGATACGAACAAGGAGTTGTTAACATGTGTGGGTCCACTGGGAAAACACCTAAGGAATGTTTTGACCCCAGACTAGCTGAGAGAGCAGCTGGGCCACACACTCAGAATCACACAGCATGTTGCTGCAAGATGTCACTTGCAATCTTGTCTGCATCCACTTTTAAATAAAGGTGCATGGTCTGGAATGAAAAGCCAACTTAGTAAATTCAGACCTACTCTTTTGGGAAAAGTTATGTTGTAGTGTGTGTGAGGTAAGGGTGGAGGGCGCATCAGCCCCGCCTGCAACCTCGGGTCACTGTGGTACCTGGCTGTGCCATCACAAAATCCAGCCTCACTGTCTTTTCTGTGGGAAGGGAGTTTGAACAGGGGCCGCTGAATTGGGAAACTCTGAAGGAGTCTCTCCCCTCCAGCCAGCCACACTTTGGAACACGGAGTGGAGTTCCAGCCCCATGGTGGCTCAGGCAATCGTGACCCTAAAAACAGTCTGCTGGCATTAAACGCTTCAGTGCTTGAGTCCCAGTCATGACTACGGGAACTAACACTAACCTGTGTCACACAGGCTGACAGTTTGGAAACACTGGCGACTCTGCGACAGACCCAAATGGCCCTTTTTACCCAGCCCCAGCTGGGATGAGAAGTAGAATTCAGTGTGCCGTAAAAACCAGTGATGTGCTACAGTCTCTGTGCAAGCCGCATGAACAAGGTGGCCATGTGGGCCGACGGCACCTATTTTTTTGTGAAAAGACACTAAGAGAGTTAAATGCCCAAAGCCTAACCATGTCAGTTTCTCCAAGAGCAGAGTGTAGGGGCAGGGGGCTTTCAGGAAAGACGGCCTTCCAGCCCCACCGCACTGTCTGCAATGAGGGTAACTCTGCCTTTGACTCTGGCAGATCTGCAGCCTCATGCGAGGGGGAATAGCTGAGAGAGGAGGCGTCCGTGTGGGGCACCGGATCATTGAAATCAATGGACAGAGCGTCGTGGCCACCCCCCACGAGAAGATCGTCCACATTCTCTCCAATGCTGTTGGGGAGGTAGGAGAGGTCCGGGGCTGAGGGTGGTGCTGAGGGCCGCGTCTGGTGCCCCTGCCTCGTATGCTCACCGTGGCCCTGAGCAGACCTTCCAGGAAAGCTCCCTGAGTTTCCAATCCTGAACACTCCCCAACAAGCAGACCTGTCTCTGACCAAATGCCAAACCCATTAGCAAGCAGTTATCTGGGAGCTCCTCCATGAAATGGAATCAGATCACCCTCAGCCTTCTCTTTCATCTGATGTGCTCACCTTCTCTTTTTAACACTCAGCTTTCTGTTGCTTTTCTGTATGGCCGCCTAAGTTGCCTCCATTTTCCCCAGTTAATCTCCCCAAATGTTTTTAAAAGATTTAAGTCTTAGACTCAAGTTGAATCAACAAAGTGGCCTTCCAGAGGTGTGACCCCAGTGCAGTGTGGCATGACGTGTCATTACTGTCAGTCATCACAGCTGTCAGTCAGTCATCATTGTTGCCATTCATCACTCCTATCAGTCATCACTACTGTCAGTCATCACTGCTGTCATTCATCACTGCTGTCAGTCATCACTGCTGTCATTCATTTATCACTGCTGTCAGTCAACACTGCTGTCATTCATTTATCACTGCTGTCAGTCAACACTGCTGTCAGTTACCACTGCTGTCAGTCATCACTGCTGTCATTGATTTATCACTGCTGTCAGTCAACACTGCTGTCATTCATTGCTGTCAGTCATCACTGCTGTCATTCATCACTGCTATCAATCATCACTGCTGTTCTAGGGCTGATTTGTCATCCTTGCCTCATCTGCCAAGAGAGATGAGGGAGGCAGGCACCCTGAGAAGCCTGGAGCCCTTCCTCCATTTTCAGAGTTCTTGCTTTTAAAAGGGTAGGGTCTGGTGAGAGCGAGAGCATTTGACTGAGAAATAAGCCTTGCTTGGTTTTTGTTGTTCATTTCTGTCACCCCTAAGCTTTTGAGAAAGTCAGTGGATTCCACTGTTCCTGGAGGCCACCCTGGGTCAGGTCCCTGGTGGTGGCTGGGCGGTAGGGAGTATCTTCAAAGCCCTCTGTGGGAGAGGCACTGCCTCTCTGGCCAGCCCTGGGCAGTGCCCACGCAGCCAGCCCCCAGCCTCAGCCCCCCACTAAAGTGTGTTCTTTACCCTCAGATTCATATGAAGACAATGCCAGCCGCGATGTACAGGCTGCTGACGGCCCAGGAGCAGCCTGTTTACATCTGACCGCGGCCACACGCGGTGGCATGCATGGAGGACTCTCCTCTTCGTGGTTGTGTTTCTCGTGCTGCATCCCTGTGTCCACTGAGACTTTCCCCTCTCGCGCCCAGCATTTGGTTTTACACAGGAAGAGAAGAATCCACAAGGACCTCTTTACTCTCTCCGATTTGCTTTTTTTTTTTTTTTTTTTTCAATACCAGGGAAGTTTCGTATGCACTCCCTTGAGGATGGAGAGCAGCCAGCACCCACCTGGTACTGACCCAGGACCATCCTGGAGGGCTTTCTGGGTGTGTCCAGGGGGTGGGCTGTCACTGCTTGAGGGAGAATCCTCCCTTCCCAGGAGGTGCAGACTTCTTAAAAGGAGCTCGCGGGGCAGCAAAGCAGCTGATTCAGCAGTGCCTAAAACCCAGTTGCTGATCCCTGCTCTCTGAGTTTATCTGTGGGAATGTGGTAGTACCCAGGGCCAGCCCACGTCATTAAGGTTATGCACTGCCTGCCATGTAGTTGGGGCACCATACATTATTTCTTCCCAGAATCTCTGAGCCAACCTTAAACCTCTTCTATTGCTAGTTCTAATTTCAACGTATGTGTGTTTTCTAATACGAGCCTTCTCACCCCAGGATAAAAGGGGAAATAACTGCCTTGGGCAAGGACACCATAGTGTCACAGAGAGCTTGGCAATTCATGGGGCATCTGAAGCTTTACCAGGTTGTCCTCAAGTTATCAACCATTAGATAAACACAGGCAGGTACTGTCTGCTTCTCTCTCTCTCACACACACACACACACACACAGTCCCATTTGCATATCACCCTTCCCTGCTCCCACCACCAGTGAGACAAGCTGAAGATTAGGCACACAGATCCCCTGGAAACCCACCTCTCTGGAAGGCCCCTTCCCTGGCAGGTGGCCAGGCAGGCGGGGGCTGCTCAGCCTCATCCTGAGAGACCTGCCCTCTCTGCGCTGAGGCCCAGCCCCTCCAGCACCACTTTGGCTTAAAGCATCCTCCTCCTGGACTCCCCTCCCTGCCGAACACACATCCCAGGAGTCTGGGAAGGAGGGACTGTTCCCAAGAAGGCAAGCTGCAGGTGCAATTGCGTCTTGTTTTCTGGCCCAAGGCAAGACCAACTTTCTTCTCTGCTCAGGGCCACTAGGCGGATGTGATATTGGAAAGGCCAGAATAGTACATAAACCACAAAATTAAGGAGACAATAGCAACCTCAAGTTATGCCTCAGAATCCCCAGATGTGGTCCATAAACACCCTCTTGCTGCCTTGTGGGCCTGAGAGCATTTTTGGCTGGTGTGGAATTGTTCCGTGTTTTCATCAGGTGCCTCATATTTATGCTTCCGTCTCAGTTCAGTGTAGATGTTTTAGTAATATTATAATTCTGAGCCAGTTTTTCACTTGGTCCAAAGAGCATTTTGTGTTCATGTGAGGTGTGATTTGGCTTTGCTTTTGTTTTGTTTCATTCATGACCTCAGTAGAGACAGGGGAAGAGAAACTATTATATTTTGTAATTAATATAGTCCCTGTTCTCTGCATCCGAGATATTTATGTTGTGTCTATGGAAATAGGAACTCAGTGAGCAAATGGTGGGTAGCATGTATTTATAGAGAGAATGGAGGGATTCTAAGGAGGGAGCAAAGTGACTATAACAAGATTAGGGACAAGAGACTTCAACCAGAGAGTTCTGTGATCAATTCCCCGAGATCTCTGCATCTTCTGAGTTTTCTGCTTAGAATCAGGGAAGCTCAGTGCTTGACAGGAACGAGCAGTGGCACTCTCAGTTTCACTGTGTTACAAAGGAGCCCTGAGGAAGGGAGGCCGCTGGCTGCCCAGGTGCCCTGGGGGGAAAGGGACTTCTGCTGCTGCAGAGAGTGGCACCCGGTGGGGCCAGGGGCTCTGGGATGGTCCGTAAAGCTCCCCAGGACTTCTTTGAAGGATGCTTTACAGAATGTTTCTGGGAGACCAGCCTCAAGGTCAACCCATCACAAACGTGAGGACCAGGAAGGAACCATGGCCAGGGTTCTCCATTTGCTGTAGAGTATCTGGTGATACAGTGAGACACTAAAGAGTCATCAGCCAGTTCATCTTTCCTCTGCCAATAAGAGTGGATAGAACAGGAATGAAGTGTTACTGGTGGTATTTCAGGCATCAGGAGCCTTGGAAAATCATCGTAGGGGCCCATGCCTGTCTGTCCCTAGGCACCTGGGCAGTGCCACAGAGGCCCGCCCACGACTGGCCAGGGGACAGAACTCCAGTAGTGCATCCCTGTACAACCTGCACATAACGGTTATGTATGTTCACCTAAAGGAGAGAATATACTTTCTATTCCTATTGCACAAAAACCTTGTAAACTTTGAGAGGTGCTGAAAAAGCCAATTCTGCAAGCTCTCCTAGAGGACTGACATTGTAACATTAGAGTGAGAAGATTTCTCTGCCACATTCTTTTGTGTTAATCCAGGTGTGTCTTCACACCCAGTGAGTGGAAGTTGCTGGAGCTCGGTACAGGTCCACCCAGCTGAAGTGGGTTCTTTTTCCCACTACCACTGGGGCAAGGGAGTGAGCCTAGGTATGGTCACCTCAGCAGCCACAGTCTTAAAAGCAAGTCGCTAGATTTTTTGAAAGTCCCAAGAGAAGTGGTGGTCTTCCCTTCTGTCATCCCAGTATATATAGTTATACATGTAAATATCTAAATACCCCATGTAATGGGAAGGCTATGTACAGGGCAGCCTTCCCAAACGCTGTGAGGGCACAGAGCTGCTGTGGCTGCTCCACCAGGGTGTGCTGGTGGCTCAGCTTTGGGGTTGGACTCCCACGTTCACCTCCCCCTCCTGGTCCAGGCAGAGGCACCAGAACCCATCCTGCCTTTTCTCCAGTGTGAGCATTTCAGGGAGCCACCATCAGCCTTGGGTTCATGAGAGGAAGAAACCCCCAAAGACCAATGCCTGGAGCCCACTTCTCCAGCGACACCTTCCCTCGCCAGAGCAGGCTCCTAGGAGTGCATGGCAGGGGTGCCGGGTCCCTGTGCACGGGTTTGCTTTCTGAACATTGCCCATCAACACCGCCTTCAGGGAGTCCCAGAGTAACCTACTACCTCCCCCATCGCTCCTCTGCCCCCCTCACCCTGTGGGCACCAACACCTCCCGCACACAGATGAAAACCATCTACAGAGCCCTTCCCGGGTCCCTCGACCCAGTGGTGTAGCCGTTACCAATGTTTACAACCAGGGGCCGCCCCTCCTTAGATGTGTTTACTCGCATTCACAGGCCACCTGTTGGTTTGAGTTTCATGTGTCTCCTTCCCTGGCCTAGGTTGACTTGAGCACACAACTCGATCTTTCTTCCCCTCCATCAAGGCAGTGTGTGAGGACTGTGTGGGAATGACATTTCTTGTACATACTTAGCACAGCACCTAGAGTATGAACTTGTACTATTGTTCTGTAAAGAGGGTGAAATAGAGCTTATTGTAAAGTGTCGGGAGAAGTATAGTATTGTATTTGTAACAATATCGTTCTTTGTATACACAAAACTCAATGATCTATATATAAATATAAATAAATATATAAATAAAATATATCTACACGTGAGCCTGGAATGTGGACACCGCACACCCACTGAATGTACTTCCTTGACAGTCTGGTCACTGGTCCCTCCCTCCCTCCCTCCTCCGTCCCGTGGCCACAGTCATCCAGTTTGGGGTTGTGATGTATTTACTGTGCTATCTATCTTCCTTTATTTAACTGAACGCTAATGTCTGTATAAGAGTTGCTGCAACAATAAACAAGAACTTCACCTCTTGGCCTGGCCAAGTGTCTTCTTGTTGCAGGGAAGGCTTGGGATCATGTGATGAGTTTGTCTTTTCCCTAACAGACTGACTGACTAGCTCCTACCCACCCTATAGGCGCCCAGAGCCCAGGAGTTCTCTAAATGAGCTTTTATTCTGTGGAACTGACTTGGTTTTAGACAAGAAAGGCTCTGTTCTCCTGTCCCAGTTGATCCTCCAGTCCTGTGGGTCTCCTTTGAGCACACTGAACTGGAGAAAGAGAAATTCTCCGGATTTCTTACTTGACATCCTCCATGAGGGCAGGAAAACAGGAATTAATTCTCCCCCACCTCAGTCATCTCCCGTAAGGGAGGTACCTTTTTGTAAGGGACTAAGATCTAAGTGGACGGTGGAAAACAGCGCCCTGAGAGGCCCATCCAAAGGTTCTGTGAGAAGGTTCTGGAAGGTTTCCTCCTGGTGCTCTTTGGAAATTCACTTTTTGAAGGTTGCCAGGCATGCCCTCCCTGCTGCCGGGGGCATGCTGGGGGCCCTGGACTCCCCAACACAGAGTGTCCAGCCCTGTTCCAAAGCAGACTGCTTGTCAGCTTTTTCTTTGCATACACCCCTCCCCCATCTTCCCTGCAAAGCTTTTTGCAGCCCCGTCAGGTCTGTAGCTGCTGAAAGCCCTGAACATGGAGGCAGGGCCTTATCCTGAGGGTCCTGTGGCCTGGCCCCGAGGAGCCCCTTCTCCTCCATCCTCCTCACAGCAAGCAGAGTGTCCCACCACCGAGACGGCTGCCATTGAATCAAGTGGGAAGAAAGCACATTGAACTGGTGTCTGGGGAAGTCACAATTTGAAGAATGGCAGCTAGTCTTTATAGTAACTTCCATGTGCCAAGCATCCTACAGAGATGAACTTGGTAACTCCCCACAACACCTCTAAGAGGTAGAAGCTTTTCCTGTATTATCATTGTCTCCATTTTATACAGGAGGAAACGGGCACAGAGGGTTCAAGCACTTATGCTCAGCTTTCCAACAACTCCCACCTGCACCCACCTGGGACAGGCTTGTCATCGCACACGGATGAACTCAGCGTTAGACTTTTGGGTCTCTTTTGGTTCTTATAATGTTTTCCTTCCTGGTTTTCTTCCATTGATTTGCAAACCACATCTCTTATTCAAATCAGTCTGCCCTACTTCCCCATCCCCAGACTGGAATTGAGCACTGGCCTAGGAGAGCGGGACTTGCTCTCAGCTCCCTCCCTCCCTCCCTGTCTCCTTCTTTGAGTCCCTTTATGGGAAGGGGCATGGGTAGGAGGTGCACAGAGGTTCCCCTACATTAAGAGTTGCCCTTGGGAAGGTCACAGTCCTCGCCTTGCTGGTTCATTCTGCTGATCTGGTCCACTGACCAGGAGATCAATGAAGACAAACAATTGGCAGCAACCGGGCATTCAGGGTCCCTGAGCCCTGGGCCCCATCTTCCAGCTGACCCCTTAGCCACAGTCCTCTAAAGCAGCAGTCTCCACCTTTTTTGGCACCAGGGACCAGTTTCATGGAAGACAGTCTTTCCAGAGACCGGGTGCCACGGAGGGGGATGATTCAAGCACATTATATTTATTGTGCACTTTATTTCTCTGATTGTTATATAATGAAATAATTATACAATTCACCATAGAATTGTATAATTATACAGTTCACAATTCTATGGTGAACTGTATAATTCAGTGGGAGCCCTGAACTGGTTTTCCTGCAACTCAATGGTCCCTTCTAGGGCTGATGGGAGACAGTGACAGATCATCAGGCATTAGATTCTCATAAGGAGCCTGCAACCTAGATCCCTCGCATGCACAGTTCACGATAGGGTTCACACTCCTATGAGAATCTAATGCTGCCGCAGATCTGACAGGAGGCGGAGCTCAGGCGGTAATGTGAGCCAGCGACGGCGAGCGGCTGTAAATACACATGAAGCTTTGTTCACTTGTTGCTCGCCTCCTGCTGTGTGGCACAGTTCCTAACAGGCCACAGACTGGTACCAATCTGTGCACACCTCTAAAGTGCACACCTCTTCCACACAGGTTGTGTCCCCAGCCGCCTGCAGCCACCATCTCCCCAGCCAGCAAGCTCCTGAAGCATCCAGCAACCATCCTCCTCACCCTCAGAGGAAGGGAGGGGCACCCCTGGCTGTCTCTCCCCTGCCCATCCCAGAGCCATTGCTTCCTATTATCTCTCTCACCACCCACAGCACCACACCTTCTGCTGGTCCGGTCCCTCGGCCACATGTAGATAAGACGTTACCAGCACCCAGTTCAGTGTGTGGGGAGGCAAGTGGAGGGCACAGGCCCCCAGCCTTCACAGTGATGCTCTTGGGATTCGCCTCCCTTGACGAGGTCAATATTCCCTTGCCTCCCAGAGTGGAGTGGCGAGTAAGTAGCTCCTTTCCTGAATTCTGCACCCATCCCCCGCCAATGACAACACCCCTCTCACATCACCAGGATGACGGTGGGAAGACAGCTGGTGGGAGGGTCTAGTCTTTGAACTGGCACCTCTCAGCAAGCTCCCTGGAAGTCTGTCTGTCCCACAGGAGACCACAGTCCCCTGATGGATGGTATCTGCCTGTGTGGGTGTGGTCTGCCCCCACAGGCAAGGCTGCTCCTACCATAGACTATACCTTAGCTTCCCCCTCTTGGCTTTGATCTTAGATGAAATTGCAGAACTAGAGAAAAAAACCATTTAACCACCTTGATGCACATAGAACCACTTTATTTAGGTCTTTCTTCTATAATTTTTGCTTAAACTGTGATCCTCAGAGTTCCTTAAACCCTCTGAGCTTGTTTCCTCATCTGCAAACTAGTGTTTATCTCAGGGAGACCGTGTGAGGATAAGCTAACACATAGAAAGCTTTCAGAATGTGCATGGCGCATAGTGGTTGCTGAGGAAGTACTGGCCGTTCCTGGGGCCCAGCAGATCCAGGTCCTCATAAGCTTCCTGGAATTTCCAGACCCCCTGGGTACACCAACGGGAGCCACAACTCAAGAGGCTCCGCACGCACTTGCATGGCTTAGTGCAGGTCGCCCCCAAACACCCGAAGTCCTAAACTACTGATGTACTGAATTTCATCCAAAAGCAGATTTTAGCCCCTGGGAAAAACTTCTAGATGCCAATGCATACTTTTTTAAAAGTTAAAAAACATAACTCCCATAACAAAGATGGAATGAACACATATCAGAGATTTATTAATCATTAATGATGAAACAAGTAAGATGGTAAAGCTGGTCCAAAAAGTATTTGGAGGACCTAAGTATTTATAGACATTTTTAAAAGAATGTTAGAATAAAATTACTAGGTTTGAAGTAAAACCGGTTGCGACTGGGCATGGTGGCTCACACCTGTAATCCCAGAACTTTGGGAAGCCGAGGCGGGTGGATCATCTGAGGTCAGGAGATTGAAACCAGCCTGGCCAACGTGGTGAAACCCCACCTCTACCAAAAACACAAAAATTAGGCATAGTGGTGGGCATCTGTAATCCCAGCAACATGGGAGACTGAGGCATGAGAATCGCTTGAACCCAGGAAGCGGAGGTTGCAGTGAGCCGAGATTGCACCACTGCACTACAGCCTGGGTGACAGAGCGAGACTCCGTCTCAACAATAAAATAAAATAAAACAAAACTGGCTAATGTCCTTAAGGCAATACAATTATAACCTTTAGGGTTATCTTTCTACCAAATAGAAATCATTTGCATCTCTAGTTGTGGGCAGGAGGAGGGCAGTTGGTTGGTAATTAGTGCTCTGCAGAAAAAATAAAGCATGGACACTGCCCTCCAGCCTGGGCAACAGAGCGAGACCCTATCTCAAAATAAATAAAATAAAATAAAATATAAAAGCATGGAACAAGAATTGAAAGCAGGGGCCAGGTGTGATAGCTCACACCTGTGATCTCAGCACTTTGGGAGGCCAAGACAGGGGGATCATTTGAGCTCAGGAGTTCCAGACCAGTCTGGGCAACATAGCAAAACCCTGTCTCCACAAAAAAAAATAAAATTAACTGGACGTGGTGGTGCAAGTCTGGAGTCCCAGCTACTCAGGAAGCTGAATTGGGAGGATTGCTTAGGGCTTGGGAGGTCAAGGCTTCAGTGAGTTGAAATTGTGCCACTGCAATCCAGGCTGGGCAACAGACTAAGACCTTGTCTCAAAAAATAATAATAACAATAATTGAAATCAGGAGTTCAAACAGGTATTTGTACATCCCTATTTATGGTAGCATTATTCACAACAGCCAAAAGACAGAAGCAACCAAAGTGTCCATCGATGAGTGGGTCAACACAACATGGTACAGGCACACAGTGGGATATTATTCAGCCTTAAAAAGGAAGGAAATTCTGGCACATGCTAGCATAAGGGTTTATCGCTACTGGAAGGACATTATGCTGAGTGAAATAAGCCAGTCACAAGAAGATAAATACTGTATAATTCCACTTACATGAGATACCTGATGTAGTCAAATTCTTACAGACAGAAAGTAGAGGAGTGGAGGAAATGAAGAGTTATTGTTAAGTAGGTACAGAGCTCCAGTTTTGCCAGAAAAAGAGAGCCCTGCAGACTGATTGCACAGCAATGTGAATGTACGCTACACTACTGAACTATGCACTTAAAAATAGCTAAGATGGGAAATTTTATGTTATATGTATTTAACTATATTCTTATTTTAAAAATTAATGGTTAAAATAGTACTTTTTATGTTATGGTATATTTTACCACAGTTTTCTTTAATGTTTTTAACTAAAGCTTAGAATGAGTTTGGGGGTGGCTATTTTATGTAGGTTGGTTAGGAATGCCTCATGAAGAAGAAGTGAGGGAGGGCCCTGTGGATGCCTTAGGGATGCGTGTTCCAAGCTAAAGGGACAGCAAGGACAAAGGCCCTGAGGCCAGGCCTCTCTGGTAGGGCGTGGAGGCTAAGAAAGGAGAATTCAAGTGGCTGAAGATGCAGCCAGCAGGCAGAGGGTGGTGGTGGGAGATATAGGCGGTTACAGGAGCTTTGGTGCTACACACACACACACACACACACACACACTCACTCACATACACTTAATTGCTAATTGCTTCCACACTATCACACTCAACTCACACTCCACCTCCTCTGCGCCCTCCCCAGCAGACACCCGCTTCAGGAACCAAGTTGGTAAGAGCTAGTATTTGGCGCCCTCTGGTGGAATTACATGAGAAATGCCAAATCCAAATAACTGCCAAGATTCCCAGGCGATTGAGGGAAGGAGGAGCCTTGGCCACCCATCCCAGGCCCCTTGTTTTCCAGATAAGGAAACCAAAGACCCCAAGAGGGGTAGGACTTGCTGGAGACTACACAGCGAGCAGGCAGCTAGAACCTCACTCCCTAGCTCCCAGGCTAATGCTCCTTTGTATGATCCCAGCTGCTGACAGACAACAACGCGGACCTCATCTTCCTACTGGCCAGACCCAGGAGGCCCTGGAGGTAGGCTGAGCACACTGCTGTGACCCCAGTTCTCAGGCTAGCTCCAGAGTCTTTGTGACAGTGGCGCGGCAAGCAGCATAGATAACTGCTGCCTTCTAGTCCCTTCCTCCAGCTGGGGAGAAGCCATTCCTAGAAGGCTGAGGCTACCGCTGCGGGAAGTGGAAGGCGGAAGGCGGAAGGCGGGAAACAACCTCATTCCTACCCTGGACCCCCTTATCCAGGGTCTACTCCACATTCTGCTCCTATTGTCAGTCTCAGACATAGCACAACTGACCAGCTACTTACTACCTTAACCACCTCTTTCCCCTCCACTAATTGGAGTTTCTTATGGGCAGGAGCCAAATCTCCCTTGACTTTCTAGTCACCGTGGGTTATAATTAAAAGAGGAGTCACAGACCGGGTTCAAATTACAGCT
Source organism: Homo sapiens (assembly GCF_000001405.40). Lineage (NCBI taxonomy): Eukaryota > Metazoa > Chordata > Mammalia > Primates > Hominidae > Homo > Homo sapiens. The sequence continues at coordinate 16,120 of NW_003315929.1, read as the reverse complement.
TTCCTACCAATTGTCACTGTGTGATCTTGGCAAGCTACTCAACCACTCTGCTCCTCCAGTTCTTCACCTATGCGATGGGCACAGCTTGGCTCAGTTGTTCTAACCATTAGTGACTCTGTCCTTGAACATTTAGCATGTGCAGTAGACACAGTCATTGAGTACAAGGTACAGAACTAGTCCTGGAGGGGAAGGGTCCGGGAGCTTTTCTCAGAGCGAGTGAGATCTTTGCAGGGTTTGAATATACTACAGGAGTTTTCCAGGTCCCATGGTTGAAAAACAGCTTTCCATGCAGAGGCAAAGAAACCTGGAACAACAGGGTGAGGAGATCCCCACCTAGCACAGAAGCATCAAGCAAGCATGGTGGCGTTCCATCAAGTCAACTTAACTAGGCTAGAACTTTGTTTTCCAGACTTCCCTCCCTGTATGATTCCAAATGAGGACTGCAGGAGAGGTTTAGGTGAGATTTGGAGGGCAGATAGGAAGCGTCAGCCAAAATGCACTGTGGGTCCCGGCAACACCAGGGGCTGTCGCAGCTCATACACGTTGTCGATGGTCTGCTGGCTTGCACCAGCGGCTCAGAGAAGCAGCCGGTCGGCAGCTCCTCCAGATTCTCCCTCAGTATCTCTGAGACCTGGGCCAGGTGTGAGTGGGACTAACTCCTCCTGCAGGTCCCCACATCACTGCAGTGGGAGGCAGGTAGGACAGAACTCTGTCCTCATGGGTTCCAGTTCTACCTGCTCTCCCCCCATTCACTTGAGCTTTTCTTTATGATGGCAACCAGCTCTACCACACCCAGAGCCACAGCCTCCCACAGTGTAGCATGTCAGAGCTCCATTCATTCACCAGTATTATGAGTAACATCTTTGGCGATTCACATAGGAGTCAAACATTTATTTGTAGTCTGGTTTGGTGACACTATTCTTGGTAACAGAATTAGAAAAACTGATTGTGAGTTTGCAGGAAATACCAAGTCATACTGAAGTTATAGGTGGGTGGCATTTGCAATAAAGATTAGTGAGGCGGGGCATGGTGGCTCACACCTGTAAACTCAGAGCTTTGGGAGGCTGAGGCAACAGGATCATTTGAGCCTAGGAGTTGAAGACCAGTTAGGGCAACAGTGCAAGTCCTCCTTCTCTACAAAAACATAAAACATTAGCCAGACATGGTGTCACGTGCCTGTGGTCCCAGCTACTTGGGAGGCTGGGGCAGGAGGATTGCTTGAGCCCAGGAGTTTAAGGCTGCAGTGAGCTATGATTGCACCACTGCACTCCAGCCTGGGCAACAGAGTGAGTTTCTACCTGCACCCCCCCCAAAAAATGAGTGAATATATTATTATTATTTGTAAACTGTGTGTTACACATTCTTTATATCAGGTAAATAAGCACAGATGCACACTCATAGTTTCCCCCCCAGAGAGCTGGTTGTTAAACACTTACCAGCACACCTGCTGTGGCCAGCTTCTCAGCTACTTAAGCAATTTCTAAGCTTTCTTGTGGAGGGGTGGCCTAAAAATATTACTTTTATTACTAAATAAAATAAGCAATCATCTTTTTATGGTCCATTTGGGAGCACACAGGTCAAATGTCGACATTTTAGTTGTTTGCCACAGCATTAGAAAACAGGCTCTGAAGGTCTCCAGGACCTGCCTTGGCTAAGGGAGAAGAGACAGCATTCCAAGTGACACCTGAGGTCGCCTCCAGTGCAGTGGCCTCACAGGACACACAGTAGGCCTCTGCTCAGCTCCCATCTTACTGAAATCTCCAACCACAGCACAAACACAGTGAAATGTTTCCAGTGCAAAGTGATCTTTTGATCTTCTTCCCCTCACATGTTCACTAGAAATCCTCCAATATTCAATTTCTATTAGAAATGTGATTAAAATGGCCGAATAGGAACAGCTCCAGTCTACAGCTCCCAGCATGAGCAATGCAGAAGATGGGTGATTTCTGCATTTCCAACTGAGGTACCAGGTTCATCTCACTGGGGAGTGCCGGACAGTGGGTGCAGGACAGTGGGTGCAGCACACCTTGTGTGAGCCGAAGCAGGGCGAGGCATTGGGCTTAACAAATGGCACACCAGGAGATTATATCCCACACATGGCTCAGAGGGTCCTACGCCCATGGAGCCTCGCTCATTGCTAGCACAGCAGTCTGAGATCAAACTGCAAGGTGGCAGCAAGGCTGGGGGAGGGGTGCCCGCCATTGCCGAGGCTTGAGTAGGTAAACAAAGCTGCCAACAAGCTCGAACTGGGTGGAGCCCACCACAGCTCAAGGAGGCCTGCCTGCCTCTGTAGGCTCCACCTCTTGGGGCAGGGCATAGACAAACACAAGGCAGCAGTAACCTCTGCAGACTTAAATGTCCCTGTCTGACAGCTTTGAAGAGAGTAGTGGTTCTCCCAGCACACAGCTTGAGATCTGAGAATGGGCAGACTGCCTCCTAAAGTGGGTCCCTGACCCCCAAGTAGCCTAACCGGGAGGCACCCCCTAGTAGGGGCAGACTGACACCTCACACAGCCGGGTACTCCTCTGAGACAAAACTTCCAGAGGAACGATCAGGCAGCAGCATTTGCGGTTCACCAATACCCGCTGTTCTGCAGCCACTGCTGCTGATACTCAGGCAAACAAGGTCTGGAGTGGACCTCCAGCAAACTCCAACAGACCTGCAGCTGAGGGTCCTAACTGTCAGAAGGAAAACTAAACAAACAGAAAGGACATCCACACCAAAACCCCATCTGTACATCACCATCATCAAAGGCAAAGGTAGATAAAATCACAAAGATGGGGAAAAACCAGAGCAGAAAAACTGGAATAACTCTAAAAATCAGAGCACCTCTCCTCCTCCAAAGGAACGCAGCTCCTCACCAGCAACGGAACAAAGCTGGATGGAGAATGACTTTGACGAGCTGAGAGAAGAAGGCTTCAGACAATCAAACTACTCCAAGCTAAAGGAGGAAGTTCGAACGAATGGCAAAGAAGTTAAAAACCTTGAAAAAAAATTAGATGAATGGATAACTAGAATAACCAATGCAGAGAAGTCCTTAAAGGACCTTTGGAGCTGAAAACCATGGCAAGAGAACTACGTGATGAATGCACAAGCCTCAGTAGCCGATGTGATCAACTGGAAGAAAGGGTATCAGTGATGGAAGACAAAATGAATGAAATGAAGCATAAAGAGAAGTTTAGAGAAAAAAGAATAAAAAGATAGGAACAAAGCCTCCAAGAAATATGGGACTATGTGAAAAGACCAAATCTACATCTGATTGGTGTACCTGAAAGTGACCTGGAGAATGGAACCAAGTTGGAAAACACTCTGCAGGATATTATCCAGGAGAATTTCCCCAATCTAGCAAGGCAGACCAACATTCAAATTCAGGAAATACAGAGAACGCCACAAAGATACTCCTCGAGAAGAGAACTCCAAGACACATAATTGTCAGATTCACCAAAGTTGAAATGAAGGAAAAAACGTTAAGGGCAGCCAGAGAGAAAGGTCAGGTTACCCACAAAGGGAAGCCCATCAGACTAACAGCGGATCTCTTGGCAGAAACTCTACAAGCCAGAAGAGAGTGGGGCCAATATTCAACATTCTTAAAGAAAAGAATTTTCAAGCCAGAATTTCATATCCAGCCAAACTAAACTTCATAAGTGAAGGAGAAATAAAGTACATTACAGACAAGCAAATGCTGAGAGATTTTTGTCACCACCAGACCTGCTGTAAAACAGCTCCTGAAGGAAGCACTAAACATGGAAAGGAATAACCAGTAACAGCCACTGCAAAAACATGCCAAATTGTAAAGACCATCGAGGCTAGGAAAAAACTGCATCAACTAACGAGCAAAATAACCAGCTAACATCATAATGACAGGATCAAATTCACACATAACAATACTAACCTTAAATGTAAATGGGCTAAATGCTCCAATTAAAAGGCACAGACTGGCAAATTGGATAAAGAGTCAAGACCCATCCATGTGCTGTATTCAGGAAACCAATCTCATGTGCAGAGACACACATAGGCTCAAAATAAAGGGATGGAGGAAGATCTACCAAGCAAACGGAAAACAAAAAAAGGCAGGGGTTTCAATCCTAGTATCGGATAAAACAGACTTTAAACCAACAAAGATCAAAAGAGACAAAGAAGGCCATTACATAATGGTAAAGGGATCAATTCAACAAGAAGAACTAACACTCCTAAATATACATGCACCCAATACAGGAGCACCCAGATTCATAAAGCAAGTCCTTAGTGACCTACAAAGAGACTTAGACTCACACACAATAATAATGGGAGATTTTAACACCCCATTGTCAACATTACACAGATCAATGAGACAGAAAGTTAACAAGGATATCCAGGAATTGAACTCAGCTCTGCACAAAGCGGACCTAACAGACATCTACAGAACTCTCCACCCCAAATCAACAGAATATACATTCTTTTCAGCACCACCCCACACCTATTCCAAAATTGACCACATAGTTGGAAGTAAAGCACTCCTCAGCAAATGTAAAAGAACAGAAATTATAACAAACTGTCTCTCAGACCACAGTGCAATCAAACTAGAACTCAGGATTAAGAAACTCACTCAAAACCACTCAACTACATGGAAACTGAACAACCTGCTCCTGAATGACTACTGGGTACATAACGAAATGAAGGCAGAAATAAAGATGTTCTTTGAAACCAACGAGAACAAAGACACAACATACCAGAATCTCTGGGACACATTCAAAGCAGTGTGTAGAGGGAAATTTATAGCACTAAATGCCCACAAGAGAAAGCAGGAAAGATCTAAAATTGACACCCTAACATCACAATTGAAAGAACTAGAGAAGCAAGAGCAAACACATTCAAAAGCTAGCAGAAGGCAAGAAATAACTCAGATCAGAGCAGAACTGAAGGAAATAGAGACACAAAAAACCCTTCAAAAAATCAATGAATCCAGGAGCTGGTTTTTTGAAAAGATCAACAAAATTGATAGACCGCTAGCAAGACTAATAAAGAAGAAAAGAGAGAAGAATCAAATAGACGCAATAAAAAATGACAAAGGGGATATCACCAATGATCCCACAGAAATACAAACTACCATCAGAGAATACTATAAACACCTCTACTCAAATAAACTAGAAAATCTAGAAGAAATGGATAAATTCCTCAACACATACACCCTCCCAAGACTAAACCAGGAAGAAGTTGAATCTCTGAATAGACCAATAACAGGCTCTGAAATTGAGCCAATAATTAATAGCTTACCAACCAAAAAGAGTCCAGGACCAGATGGATTCACAGCCGAATTCTACCAGAGGTACAAGGAGGAGCTGGTAGCATTCCTTCTGAAACTATTCCAATCAATAGAAAAAGAGGGAATCCTCCCTAACTCATTTTATGAGGCCAGCATCATTCTGATACCAAAGCCGGGCAGAGACACAACCAAAAAAGATAATTTTAGACCAATATCGTTGATGAACATTGATGCAAAAATCCTCAATAAAATACTGGCAAACTGAATCCAGCAACACATCAAAAAGCTTATCCACCATGATCAAGTGGGCTTCATCCCTGGGATGCAAGGCTGGTTCAACATACAAAAATCAATTAACATAATCCATCATATAAACAGAACCAAAGACAAAAACCATATGATTATCTCAATAGATGCAGAAAAGGCCTTTGACAAAATTCAACAACGCTTCATGCTAAAAAACTCTCAATAAATTAGGTATTGATGGGATGTATCTCAAAATAATAAGAGCTATCTATGACAAACCCACAGCCAATATCATACCGAATGGACAAAAACTGGAAGCATTCCCTTTGAAAACTGGCACAAGACAGGGATGCCCTCTCTCACCACTCCTATTCAACATAGTTTTGGAAGTTCTGGCCAGGGCAATTAGGCAGGAGAAGGAAATAAAGGGCATTCAATTAGGAAAAGAGGAAGTCAAATTATCCCTGTTTGCAGATGACATGATTGTATATCTAGAAAACCCCACTGTCTCAGCCCAAAATCTCCTTAAGCTGATAAGCAACTTCAGCAAAGTCTCAGGATACAAAATCAATGTGCAAAAATCACAAGCATTCTTATACACCAACAACAAACAGAGAGCCAAATCATGAGTGAACTCCCATTCACAATTGCTTCAAAGAGAATACAATACCTAGGAATCCAACTTACAAGGGATGTGAAGGACCTCTTCAAGGAGAACTACAAACCACTGCTCAAGGAAATAAAGGAGGATACAAAGAAATGGAAGAACATTCCATGCTCATGGGTAGGAAGAATCAATATCATGAAAATGGCCATACTGCCCAAGGTAATTTATAGATTCAATGCCATCCCCATCAAGCTACCAATGACTTTCTTCACAGAATTGGAAAAAACTACTTTAAAATTCATATGGAACCAAAAAAGAGCCCACATTGCCAAGTCAATCCTAAGCTAAAAGAACAAAGCTGGAGGCATCACGCTACCTGACTTCAAACTATACTACAAGGCTATAGTAACCAAAACAGCATGGTACTGGTACCAAACAGAGATATAGACCAATGGAACAGAACAGAGCCCTCAGAAATAATGCCACATATCTACAACTGTCTGATCTTTGACAAACCTGAGAAAAACAAGCAATGGGGGAAAGGATTCCCTATTTAATAAATGGTGCTGGGAAAACTGGCTAGCCATATGTAGAAAGCTGAAATTGGGTCCCTTCCTTACACCTTATAAAAAATTAATTCAAGATGGATTAAAGACCTACATGTTAGACCTAAAACCATAAAAACCCTAGGCAATACCATTCAGGACATAGGCATGGGCAAGTACTTCATGTCTAAAACACCAAAAGCAATGGCAACAAAAGCCATAATTGACAAATGGGATCTAATTAAACTCAAGAGCTTCTGCACAGCAAAAGAAACTACCATCGGAGTGAACAGGCAACCTACAGAAAGGGAGAAAATTTTTACAACCTGCTCATCTGACAAAGGGCTAATATCCAGAATCTACAATGAACTCAAACAAATTTACAAGAAAAAAACAACCCCATCAAAAAGTGGATGAAGGATATGAACAAACACTTCTCAAAAGATGACATTTATGCAGCCAAAAGACACATGAAAAAATGCTCATCATCACTGGCCATCAGAGAAATGCAAATCAAAACCACAATGAGATACCATCTCACACCAGTTAGAATGGCGATCATTAAAAAGTCAGGAAACAACAGGTGCTGGAGAGGATGTGGAGAAATACGAACACTTTTACACTGTTGGTGGGACTGTAAACTAGTTCAACCATTGTGGAAGTCAGTGTGGCGATTCCTCAGGGATCTAGAACTAGAAATACCATTTGACCCAGCCATCCCATTACTGGGTATACACCCAAAGGACTATAAATCATGCTGCTGCAAAGACACATGCACACGTATGTTTATTGTGGCACTATTCACAATAGCAAAGACTTGGAACCAACCCAAATGTCCAACAATGATAGACTAGATTAAGAAAATGTGGCACATATACACCATGGAATACTATGCAGCCATAAAAAAGGATGAGTTCATGTCCTTTGTAGGGACATGGATGAAGCTAGAAACCATCATTCTCAGAAAACTATGGCAAGGACAAAAAACCAACACTGCATGTTCTCACTCATAGGTGGGAATTGAACAATGAGAACACATGGACACAGGAAGGGGAACATCACACACTGGGGACTGTTGTGGGGTGGGGGGAGGGGGGAGGGATAGCATTAGGAGATATACCTAATGCTAAATGACGAGTTAATGGGTGTAGCACACCAACATGGCACATGTATACATATGTAACAAACCTGCACGTTGTGCCCATGTACCCTAAAACTTAAAGTATACTAATAATAATAAAAACGTTAAAGTGGACATTTTAGTAATAATAAACATCTGTTGGAATGCTTTAAAAAAATGTAGCATGGCCTTTTTTTTTTTTTTTAAATTGAGATGGAGTCTCGCTCTGTCATCCAAGATGGAGTACAGTGGCACGATCTCGGCTCACTGCAACCTCCACCTCCTGGGTTCAAGGGATTCTCCTGCCTCAGCCTCCTGAGTAGCTGGGACTACAGGCACGTGCCACCACGCCCGGCTAATTTTTGTATTTTTAGTAGAGGCATGGTTTCACCATACTGGCCAGGCCGGTCTTGAACTCCTGACCTTGTGATCCACCTGCCTCTGCCTCCCAAAGTGCTGGTATCCCAGGCTCCCAGGGCCTTTGACTTTTTTTTTTTTGTTTTAAGCCAGTTTGTTCCCTGAAGGAATCCATCAAGAAAGAGTATGAGTGGATGAAGGAGGCTCAGCTCCCTCTCTGGACAGAGTCCCTTCAGCAGAGATTCCCACCCAGAACCCAGTGTTTCTGTGACATGCAGGACTGCCTTCCCGGCTGCCAGCTTGAGAGTTTGGGATGCACCCTCCAAGAGCCTCCTTGCCTCTGGACTGTCCACCCTGGCTGCACAGAGTCCCGCAGAGCAGCTGACTCCCAAGCCTGGGGCTGTACAGTGCAGGGGCCGGCTCAGTTCCCACAGTCACAATTGGGACTCGAACAGTTTGGTATTTGAGTGATCCTTCAAACCTTGGCCTTCCGGCGAAGCCAGGCAGATCACTTGAGGCCAGGAGTTTGAGACCAGCTTGGCCAACATGGCAAAGCCCAGTCTCTGCTAAAAATACAAAAAGTAGCCAGGTGTGGTGGCGGGCACCTGTAATCCCAGCTACTCAGGAGGGTGAGGCAGGAGGATCACCTGAACCCGGGAGGCAAAGGTTGCAGTGAGCAGAGATTATGCCACTGCACTCCAGCCTAGGTGACAGAGCAAGACTCTGTCTTAAAAAAAAAAAAAAAAAAAAAGTCCTAGGTAATTAAAATATCATTCCAAATACATTTGAAGGTTTAGAAATACCCTTGAACTTCCCATTTGGAGTTGAAATATCCAGCCCCACTTCCTGCATTCTTTGTACCTGAGTAGCCTAATTTGCCTATTAGGAGAGGATCTAGGGTGACTCTTTACAGTTTAGCTCTGAGATCATCTTTTCATTGGTTTGTACTTGTACTTGTTTGCTTTGTTCATAGTTAAACTGCATTAAAAGTTCAGATACGAACAAGGAGTTGTTAACATGTGTGGGTCCACTGGGAAAACACCTAAGGAATGTTTTGACCCCAGACTAGCTGAGAGAGCAGCTGGGCCACACACTCAGAATCACACAGCATGTTGCTGCAAGATGTCACTTGCAATCTTGTCTGCATCCACTTTTAAATAAAGGTGCATGGTCTGGAATGAAAAGCCAACTTAGTAAATTCAGACCTACTCTTTTGGGAAAAGTTATGTTGTAGTGTGTGTGAGGTAAGGGTGGAGGGCGCATCAGCCCCGCCTGCAACCTCGGGTCACTGTGGTACCTGGCTGTGCCATCACAAAATCCAGCCTCACTGTCTTTTCTGTGGGAAGGGAGTTTGAACAGGGGCCGCTGAATTGGGAAACTCTGAAGGAGTCTCTCCCCTCCAGCCAGCCACACTTTGGAACACGGAGTGGAGTTCCAGCCCCATGGTGGCTCAGGCAATCGTGACCCTAAAAACAGTCTGCTGGCATTAAACGCTTCAGTGCTTGAGTCCCAGTCATGACTACGGGAACTAACACTAACCTGTGTCACACAGGCTGACAGTTTGGAAACACTGGCGACTCTGCGACAGACCCAAATGGCCCTTTTTACCCAGCCCCAGCTGGGATGAGAAGTAGAATTCAGTGTGCCGTAAAAACCAGTGATGTGCTACAGTCTCTGTGCAAGCCGCATGAACAAGGTGGCCATGTGGGCCGACGGCACCTATTTTTTTGTGAAAAGACACTAAGAGAGTTAAATGCCCAAAGCCTAACCATGTCAGTTTCTCCAAGAGCAGAGTGTAGGGGCAGGGGGCTTTCAGGAAAGACGGCCTTCCAGCCCCACCGCACTGTCTGCAATGAGGGTAACTCTGCCTTTGACTCTGGCAGATCTGCAGCCTCATGCGAGGGGGAATAGCTGAGAGAGGAGGCGTCCGTGTGGGGCACCGGATCATTGAAATCAATGGACAGAGCGTCGTGGCCACCCCCCACGAGAAGATCGTCCACATTCTCTCCAATGCTGTTGGGGAGGTAGGAGAGGTCCGGGGCTGAGGGTGGTGCTGAGGGCCGCGTCTGGTGCCCCTGCCTCGTATGCTCACCGTGGCCCTGAGCAGACCTTCCAGGAAAGCTCCCTGAGTTTCCAATCCTGAACACTCCCCAACAAGCAGACCTGTCTCTGACCAAATGCCAAACCCATTAGCAAGCAGTTATCTGGGAGCTCCTCCATGAAATGGAATCAGATCACCCTCAGCCTTCTCTTTCATCTGATGTGCTCACCTTCTCTTTTTAACACTCAGCTTTCTGTTGCTTTTCTGTATGGCCGCCTAAGTTGCCTCCATTTTCCCCAGTTAATCTCCCCAAATGTTTTTAAAAGATTTAAGTCTTAGACTCAAGTTGAATCAACAAAGTGGCCTTCCAGAGGTGTGACCCCAGTGCAGTGTGGCATGACGTGTCATTACTGTCAGTCATCACAGCTGTCAGTCAGTCATCATTGTTGCCATTCATCACTCCTATCAGTCATCACTACTGTCAGTCATCACTGCTGTCATTCATCACTGCTGTCAGTCATCACTGCTGTCATTCATTTATCACTGCTGTCAGTCAACACTGCTGTCATTCATTTATCACTGCTGTCAGTCAACACTGCTGTCAGTTACCACTGCTGTCAGTCATCACTGCTGTCATTGATTTATCACTGCTGTCAGTCAACACTGCTGTCATTCATTGCTGTCAGTCATCACTGCTGTCATTCATCACTGCTATCAATCATCACTGCTGTTCTAGGGCTGATTTGTCATCCTTGCCTCATCTGCCAAGAGAGATGAGGGAGGCAGGCACCCTGAGAAGCCTGGAGCCCTTCCTCCATTTTCAGAGTTCTTGCTTTTAAAAGGGTAGGGTCTGGTGAGAGCGAGAGCATTTGACTGAGAAATAAGCCTTGCTTGGTTTTTGTTGTTCATTTCTGTCACCCCTAAGCTTTTGAGAAAGTCAGTGGATTCCACTGTTCCTGGAGGCCACCCTGGGTCAGGTCCCTGGTGGTGGCTGGGCGGTAGGGAGTATCTTCAAAGCCCTCTGTGGGAGAGGCACTGCCTCTCTGGCCAGCCCTGGGCAGTGCCCACGCAGCCAGCCCCCAGCCTCAGCCCCCCACTAAAGTGTGTTCTTTACCCTCAGATTCATATGAAGACAATGCCAGCCGCGATGTACAGGCTGCTGACGGCCCAGGAGCAGCCTGTTTACATCTGACCGCGGCCACACGCGGTGGCATGCATGGAGGACTCTCCTCTTCGTGGTTGTGTTTCTCGTGCTGCATCCCTGTGTCCACTGAGACTTTCCCCTCTCGCGCCCAGCATTTGGTTTTACACAGGAAGAGAAGAATCCACAAGGACCTCTTTACTCTCTCCGATTTGCTTTTTTTTTTTTTTTTTTTTCAATACCAGGGAAGTTTCGTATGCACTCCCTTGAGGATGGAGAGCAGCCAGCACCCACCTGGTACTGACCCAGGACCATCCTGGAGGGCTTTCTGGGTGTGTCCAGGGGGTGGGCTGTCACTGCTTGAGGGAGAATCCTCCCTTCCCAGGAGGTGCAGACTTCTTAAAAGGAGCTCGCGGGGCAGCAAAGCAGCTGATTCAGCAGTGCCTAAAACCCAGTTGCTGATCCCTGCTCTCTGAGTTTATCTGTGGGAATGTGGTAGTACCCAGGGCCAGCCCACGTCATTAAGGTTATGCACTGCCTGCCATGTAGTTGGGGCACCATACATTATTTCTTCCCAGAATCTCTGAGCCAACCTTAAACCTCTTCTATTGCTAGTTCTAATTTCAACGTATGTGTGTTTTCTAATACGAGCCTTCTCACCCCAGGATAAAAGGGGAAATAACTGCCTTGGGCAAGGACACCATAGTGTCACAGAGAGCTTGGCAATTCATGGGGCATCTGAAGCTTTACCAGGTTGTCCTCAAGTTATCAACCATTAGATAAACACAGGCAGGTACTGTCTGCTTCTCTCTCTCTCACACACACACACACACACACAGTCCCATTTGCATATCACCCTTCCCTGCTCCCACCACCAGTGAGACAAGCTGAAGATTAGGCACACAGATCCCCTGGAAACCCACCTCTCTGGAAGGCCCCTTCCCTGGCAGGTGGCCAGGCAGGCGGGGGCTGCTCAGCCTCATCCTGAGAGACCTGCCCTCTCTGCGCTGAGGCCCAGCCCCTCCAGCACCACTTTGGCTTAAAGCATCCTCCTCCTGGACTCCCCTCCCTGCCGAACACACATCCCAGGAGTCTGGGAAGGAGGGACTGTTCCCAAGAAGGCAAGCTGCAGGTGCAATTGCGTCTTGTTTTCTGGCCCAAGGCAAGACCAACTTTCTTCTCTGCTCAGGGCCACTAGGCGGATGTGATATTGGAAAGGCCAGAATAGTACATAAACCACAAAATTAAGGAGACAATAGCAACCTCAAGTTATGCCTCAGAATCCCCAGATGTGGTCCATAAACACCCTCTTGCTGCCTTGTGGGCCTGAGAGCATTTTTGGCTGGTGTGGAATTGTTCCGTGTTTTCATCAGGTGCCTCATATTTATGCTTCCGTCTCAGTTCAGTGTAGATGTTTTAGTAATATTATAATTCTGAGCCAGTTTTCACTTGGTCCAAAGAGCATTTTGTGTTCATGTGAGGTGTGATTTGGCTTTGCTTTTGTTTTGTTTCATTCATGACCTCAGTAGAGACAGGGGAAGAGAAACTATTATATTTTGTAATTAATATAGTCCCTGTTCTCTGCATCCGAGATATTTATGTTGTGTCTATGGAAATAGGAACTCAGTGAGCAAATGGTGGGTAGCATGTATTTATAGAGAGAATGGAGGGATTCTAAGGAGGGAGCAAAGTGACTATAACAAGATTAGGGACAAGAGACTTCAACCAGAGAGTTCTGTGATCAATTCCCCGAGATCTCTGCATCTTCTGAGTTTTCTGCTTAGAATCAGGGAAGCTCAGTGCTTGACAGGAACGAGCAGTGGCACTCTCAGTTTCACTGTGTTACAAAGGAGCCCTGAGGAAGGGAGGCCGCTGGCTGCCCAGGTGCCCTGGGGGGAAAGGGACTTCTGCTGCTGCAGAGAGTGGCACCCGGTGGGGCCAGGGGCTCTGGGATGGTCCGTAAAGCTCCCCAGGACTTCTTTGAAGGATGCTTTACAGAATGTTTCTGGGAGACCAGCCTCAAGGTCAACCCATCACAAACGTGAGGACCAGGAAGGAACCATGGCCAGGGTTCTCCATTTGCTGTAGAGTATCTGGTGATACAGTGAGACACTAAAGAGTCATCAGCCAGTTCATCTTTCCTCTGCCAATAAGAGTGGATAGAACAGGAATGAAGTGTTACTGGTGGTATTTCAGGCATCAGGAGCCTTGGAAAATCATCGTAGGGGCCCATGCCTGTCTGTCCCTAGGCACCTGGGCAGTGCCACAGAGGCCCGCCCACGACTGGCCAGGGGACAGAACTCCAGTAGTGCATCCCTGTACAACCTGCACATAACGGTTATGTATGTTCACCTAAAGGAGAGAATATACTTTCTATTCCTATTGCACAAAAACCTTGTAAACTTTGAGAGGTGCTGAAAAAGCCAATTCTGCAAGCTCTCCTAGAGGACTGACATTGTAACATTAGAGTGAGAAGATTTCTCTGCCACATTCTTTTGTGTTAATCCAGGTGTGTCTTCACACCCAGTGAGTGGAAGTTGCTGGAGCTCGGTACAGGTCCACCCAGCTGAAGTGGGTTCTTTTTCCCACTACCACTGGGGCAAGGGAGTGAGCCTAGGTATGGTCACCTCAGCAGCCACAGTCTTAAAAGCAAGTCGCTAGATTTTTTGAAAGTCCCAAGAGAAGTGGTGGTCTTCCCTTCTGTCATCCCAGTATATATAGTTATACATGTAAATATCTAAATACCCCATGTAATGGGAAGGCTATGTACAGGGCAGCCTTCCCAAACGCTGTGAGGGCACAGAGCTGCTGTGGCTGCTCCACCAGGGTGTGCTGGTGGCTCAGCTTTGGGGTTGGACTCCCACGTTCACCTCCCCCTCCTGGTCCAGGCAGAGGCACCAGAACCCATCCTGCCTTTTCTCCAGTGTGAGCATTTCAGGGAGCCACCATCAGCCTTGGGTTCATGAGAGGAAGAAACCCCCAAAGACCAATGCCTGGAGCCCACTTCTCCAGCGACACCTTCCCTCGCCAGAGCAGGCTCCTAGGAGTGCATGGCAGGGGTGCCGGGTCCCTGTGCACGGGTTTGCTTTCTGAACATTGCCCATCAACACCGCCTTCAGGGAGTCCCAGAGTAACCTACTACCTCCCCCATCGCTCCTCTGCCCCCCTCACCCTGTGGGCACCAACACCTCCCGCACACAGATGAAAACCATCTACAGAGCCCTTCCCGGGTCCCTCGACCCAGTGGTGTAGCCGTTACCAATGTTTACAACCAGGGGCCGCCCCTCCTTAGATGTGTTTACTCGCATTCACAGGCCACCTGTTGGTTTGAGTTTCATGTGTCTCCTTCCCTGGCCTAGGTTGACTTGAGCACACAACTCGATCTTTCTTCCCCTCCATCAAGGCAGTGTGTGAGGACTGTGTGGGAATGACATTTCTTGTACATACTTAGCACAGCACCTAGAGTATGAACTTGTACTATTGTTCTGTAAAGAGGGTGAAATAGAGCTTATTGTAAAGTGTCGGGAGAAGTATAGTATTGTATTTGTAACAATATCGTTCTTTGTATACACAAAACTCAATGATCTATATATAAATATAAATAAATATATAAATAAAATATATCTACACGTGAGCCTGGAATGTGGACACCGCACACCCACTGAATGTACTTCCTTGACAGTCTGGTCACTGGTCCCTCCCTCCCTCCCTCCTCCGTCCCGTGGCCACAGTCATCCAGTTTGGGGTTGTGATGTATTTACTGTGCTATCTATCTTCCTTTATTTAACTGAACGCTAATGTCTGTATAAGAGTTGCTGCAACAATAAACAAGAACTTCACCTCTTGGCCTGGCCAAGTGTCTTCTTGTTGCAGGGAAGGCTTGGGATCATGTGATGAGTTTGTCTTTTCCCTAACAGACTGACTGACTAGCTCCTACCCACCCTATAGGCGCCCAGAGCCCAGGAGTTCTCTAAATGAGCTTTTATTCTGTGGAACTGACTTGGTTTTAGACAAGAAAGGCTCTGTTCTCCTGTCCCAGTTGATCCTCCAGTCCTGTGGGTCTCCTTTGAGCACACTGAACTGGAGAAAGAGAAATTCTCCGGATTTCTTACTTGACATCCTCCATGAGGGCAGGAAAACAGGAATTAATTCTCCCCCACCTCAGTCATCTCCCGTAAGGGAGGTACCTTTTTGTAAGGGACTAAGATCTAAGTGGACGGTGGAAAACAGCGCCCTGAGAGGCCCATCCAAAGGTTCTGTGAGAAGGTTCTGGAAGGTTTCCTCCTGGTGCTCTTTGGAAATTCACTTTTTGAAGGTTGCCAGGCATGCCCTCCCTGCTGCCGGGGGCATGCTGGGGGCCCTGGACTCCCCAACACAGAGTGTCCAGCCCTGTTCCAAAGCAGACTGCTTGTCAGCTTTTTCTTTGCATACACCCCTCCCCCATCTTCCCTGCAAAGCTTTTTGCAGCCCCGTCAGGTCTGTAGCTGCTGAAAGCCCTGAACATGGAGGCAGGGCCTTATCCTGAGGGTCCTGTGGCCTGGCCCCGAGGAGCCCCTTCTCCTCCATCCTCCTCACAGCAAGCAGAGTGTCCCACCACCGAGACGGCTGCCATTGAATCAAGTGGGAAGAAAGCACATTGAACTGGTGTCTGGGGAAGTCACAATTTGAAGAATGGCAGCTAGTCTTTATAGTAACTTCCATGTGCCAAGCATCCTACAGAGATGAACTTGGTAACTCCCCACAACACCTCTAAGAGGTAGAAGCTTTTCCTGTATTATCATTGTCTCCATTTTATACAGGAGGAAACGGGCACAGAGGGTT